>NC_000023.11:58736286-58804505 GCF_000001405.40 Homo sapiens
AGCAAACTCAGAACATTCTTTGTGATGTTTGTATTCAACTGACGGAGTTGAACCTTCCTTTGATATTTCAGGTTTGCAACACCCTTGTAGTAGAATCTGCAAGTGTATATTTTGACCACTTTGTAGCCTTCGTTTGAAACGTCTATATCTTCACATCAAACCTAGACAGAAGCATTCTCAGAAAGTTTTCTGCGATGACTGCATTCAACTCACAGAGTTGAACAATCCTTCTGATGGAGCAGTTTTGAAACCCTCTTTCTTTGGAATCTGCAAGGGGATATGTGGACCTCTTTGAAGATTTCACTGGAAACGGGATCATCTTCACATAAAAACTAAACAGAAGCATTCTCGGAAACTACTTTGTGATGTTTGTATTCAACTCCCAGAGTTGAACTTTCCTTTTGAAAGAGCAGCTATGAAACACTCTTTTTCGAGAATCTGCAAGTGGACGTTTGGAGGGCTTTGAGGACTGTGGTGGAAAAGGAAATATCTTCACACAAAAACCAGATAGAAGCATTCTCAGAAACTACTTTGTGAGGATGGCATTCAACTCATGGAGTTGAACAATCCTATTGATAGAGCAGATTGGAATCACTCTTTTTATAGAATCTGCAAATGGAGATTTGGACTGCTTTGAGGCCTACGGTAGTACAGGAAGGAACTTCATATAAAAGGCAAACGGAAGCATTCTCAGAATATTCTTTGTGATGATGGAGTTTCACTCACAGAGCTGAACATGCCTTTTGATGGAGCAGTTTCCAAATACACTTTTGGTAGAATCTGCAGGTGGATATTTGGAGCTCTCTGAGGATTTCGTTGGAAAAGGGAATAATTTCCCATAACTAAACACAAACACTCTGAGAAAGTTCTTCATGATGAATGCATTTAACTCGCAGAGATGAACCTGCCTTTGAGAGTTCAGGTTCGAAACACTCTTTCTGTAGAATCTGCAAGTGGATATTTGGACCACTGGGTGGCCTTCGTTCGAAACGGGTATATGTTCACGTAAAAACTAAAGAGAAGCATTCTCAGAAACTTCTGAGTGATGATTGCATTCAAGTCACACAGTTGAACCCTCCTTTTGATGGAGCAGTTTTGAAACTGTCTTTTTGTAGAATCTGTAAGTGGATACGTGGACCTCTTTGAAGATTTCTTTGGAAACGGGAATATTTCCACAGAAAAACTAAACTGAAGCATTCTCAGAAACCGCTTTGTGATGTTTGTGTTCGAGCCACAGAGTTTAACATTGCTTTTCATAGAGCAGTTTTGAAATATTCTTTTCGCAGAATCTGCAAGTGGACATTTGGAGCGCTTTCAGGCCTGTGGTGGAAAAGGCCTGAAAGCCTTTTCCTTTATCTTCACAGAAAGACGAGAGAGAAGCATTGTCAGAAACTTCTTTGTGATGATTGCATTCAACTCACAGAGTTGAAGATTCCTTTTGAAACAGCAGTTTCGAAACACTCTTTCTGTGGGATCCGCAAGGGGATATTTGGACCTCTTTGAAGGTTTCGTTGGAAACGGGATAATCTTCACCTAAAAGCTAAACAGAAGCATTCTCAGAAACTTCTTTGGGATGTTTGCATTCACCTCACAGAGTTGAACTTTCCCTTTGATAGCGCAGCTTTGACACACTTTTTCTACAATGTGCAAGTGGCTATTTAGCGGGCTTGGAGGACTGTGTTGGAAAAGGAAATATCTTCTCCTAAAAACGACATAGAAGCATTCTCAGAAACTGCTCTGTGATGATTGCATTCAACTCCCAGAGTTGAACATTCCTTTTGATAGAGCAGTTTGCAAACACTCTTTTTGTAGAATCTGCAAGTGGAGATTTGGACCGCTTTGAGGCCTGTGGTAGTGAAGGAAAGAACTTCATATAAAAACCAGACGGTAGCACTCTCAGAAAATTCTTTGTGACGATGGAGTTTAACTCAGGGAGCTGAACATTCGTTATGATGGAGCAGTTTCCAAACACACGTTTTGTAGAATCTGCGAGGGGATATTTGGACCTCTCTGAGGATTTCGTTGGAAACGGGATCAACTTCCCATAACTGAACGGAAGCAAACTCAGAACATTCTTTGTGATGTTTGTATTCAACTCACAGAGTTGAACCTTCCTTTGATAGTTCAGGTTTGCAACACCCTTGTAGTAGAATCTGCAAGTGTATATTTTGACCACTTTGTAGCCTTCGTTTGAAACGTCTATATCTTCACATCAAACCTAGACAGAAGCATTCTTAGAAAGTTTTCTGCGATGACTGCATTCAACTCACAGAGTTGAACAATCCTTCTGATGGAGCAGTTTTGAAACCCTCTTTCTTTGGAATCTGCAAGGGAATATGTGGACCTCTTTGAAGATTTCACTGGAAACGGGATCATCTTCACATAAAAACTAAATATAAGCATTCTCGGAAACTACTTTGGGATGTTTGTATTCAACTCCCAGAGTTGAACTTTCCTTTTGGAAGAGCAGCTATGAAACACTCTTTTTCGAGAATCTGCAAGTGGACGTTTGGAGGGCTTTGAGGCCTGTGGTGGAAAAGGAAATATCTTCACATAAAAACTAGATAGAAGCATTCTCACAAACGACATTGTGAGGATGGAATTCAACTCATGGAGTTGAACAATCCTATTGATAGAGCAGATTGGAATCACTCTTTTTGTAGAATCTGCAAATGGAGATTTGGACTGCTTTGAGGCCTACGGTAGTATAGGAAGGAACTTCATATAAAAGGCAAACGGAAGCATTCTCAGAATATTCTTTGTGATGATGGAGTTTCACTCACAGAGCTGAACATGCCTTTTGATGGAGCAGTTTCCAAATACACTTTTGGTAGAATCTGCAGGTGGATATTTGGAGCTCTCTGAGGATTTCGTTGGAAACGGGAATAATTTCCCATAACTAAACACAAACACTCTGAGAAAGTTCTTCATGATGAATGCATTTAACTCGCAGAGATGAACCTGCCTTTGAGAGTTCAGGTTCGAAACACTCTTTCTGTAGAATCTGCAAGTGGATATTTGGACCACTGGGTGGCCTTCGTTCGAAACGGGTATATGTTCACATAAAAACTAAAAAGAAGCATTCTCAGAAACTTCTGAGTGATGATTGCATTCAAGTCACACAGTTGAACCCTCCTTTTGATGGAGCAGTTTTGAAACTGTCTTTTTGTAGAATCTGTAAGTGGATACGTGGACCTCTTTGAAGATTTCTTTGAAAACGGGAATATTTCCACAGAAAAACTAAACTGAAGCATTCTCAGAAACCGCTTTGTGATGTTTGTGTTCGAGCCGCAGAGTTTAACATTGCTTTTCATAGAGCAGTTTTGAAATATTCTTTTGGCAGAATCTGCAAGTGGACATTTGGACCGCTTTCAGGCCTGTGGTGGCAAAGGCCTGAAAGCCTTTTCCTTTATCTTCACAGAAAGACGAGAGAGAAGCATTGTCAGAAACTTCTTTGTGATGATTGCATTCAACTCACAGAGTTGAAGATTCCTTTTGAAACAGCAGTTTCGAAACACTCTTTCTGTGGGATCCGCAAGGGGATATTTGGACCTCTTTGAAGGTTTCGTTGGAAACGGGATAATCTTCACCTAAAAGCTAAACGGAAGCATTCTCAGAAACTTCTTTGGGATGTTTGCATTCACCTCACAGAGTTGAACTTTCCCTTTGATAGCGCAGCTTTGACACACTTTTTCTACAATGTGCAAGTGGCTATTTAGCGGGCTTGGAGGACTGTGTTGGAAAAGGAAATATCTTCTCCTAAAAACGACATAGAAGCATTCTCAGAAACTGCTCTGTGATGATTGCATTCAACTCCCAGAGTTGAACATTCCTTTTGATAGAGCAGTTTGCAAACACTCTTTTTGTAGAATCTGCAAGTGGAGATTTGGACCGCTTTGAGGCCTGTGGTAGTGAAGGAAAGAGCTTCATATAAAAACCAGACGGTAGCACTCTCAGAAAATTCTTTGTGACGATGGAGTTTAACTCAGGGAGCTGAACATTCGTTATGATGGAGCAGTTTCCAAACACACGTTTTGTAGAATCTGCAAGGGGATATTTGGACCTCTCTGAGGATTTCGTTGGAAACGGGATCAACTTCCCATAACTGAACGGAAGCAAACTCAGAACATTCTTTGTGATGTTTGTATTCAACTCACAGAGTTGAACCTTCCTTTGATAGTTCAGGTTTGCAACACCCTTGTAGTAGAATCTGCAAGTGTATATTTTGACCACTTTGTAGCCTTCATTTGAAACGTCTATATCTTCACATCAAACCTAGACAGAAGCATTCTCAGAAAGTTTTCTGCGATGACTGCATTCAACTCACAGAGTTGAACAATCCTTCTGATGGAGCAGTTTTGAAACCCTCTTTCTTTGGAATCTGCAAGGGGATATGTGGACCTCTTTGAAGATTTCACTGGAAACGGGATCATCTTCACATAAAAACTAAACAGAAGCATTCTCGGAAACTACTTTGTGATGTTTGTATTCAACTCCCAGAGTTGAACTTTCCTTTTGAAAGAGCAGCTATGAAACACTCTTTTTCGAGAATCTGCAAGTGGACGTTTGGAGGGCTTTGAGGCCTGTGGTGGAAAAGGAAATATCTTCACATAAAAACTAGATAGAAGCATTCTCAGAAACTACTTTGTGAGGATGGCATTCAACTCATGGAGTTGAACAATCCTATTGATAGAGCAGATTGGAATCACTCTTTTTGTAGAATCTGCAAATGGAGATTTGGACTGCTTTGAGGCCTACGGTCGTATAGGAAGGAACTTCATGTAAAAGGCAAACGGAAGCATTCTCAGAATATTCTTTGTGATGATGGAGTTTCACTCACAGAGCTGAACATGCCTTTTGATGGAGCAGTTTCCAAATACACTTTTGGTAGAATCTGCAGGTGGATATTTGGAGCTCTCTGAGGATTTCGTTGGAAACGGGAATAATTTCCCATAACTAAACACAAACACTCTGAGAAAGTTCTTCATGATGAATGCTTTTGACTCGCAGAGATGAACCTGCCTTTGAGAGTTCAGGTTCGAAACACTCTTTCTGTAGAATCTGCAAGTGGATATTTGGACCACTGGGTGGCCTTCGTTCGAAACGGGTATATGTTCACGTAAAAACTAAAGAGAAGCATTCTCAGAAACTTCTGAGTGATGATTGCATTCAAGTCACACAGTTGAACCCTCCTTTTGATGGAGCAGTTTTGAAACTGTCTTTTTGTAGAATCTGTAAGTGGATACGTGGACCTCTTTGAAGATTTCTTTGGAAACGGGAATATTTCCACAGAAAAACTAAACTGAAACATTCTCAGAAACCGCTTTGTGATGTTTGTGTTCCAGCCACAGAGTTTAACATTGCTTTTCATAGAGCAGTTTTGAAATATTCTTTTGGCAGAATCTGCAAGTGGACATTTGGAGCGCTTTCAGGCCTGTGGTGGAAAAGGCCTGAAAGCCTTTTCCTTTATCTTCACAGAAAGACGAGAGAGAAGCATTGTCAGAAACTTCTTTGTGATGATTGCATTCAACTCACAGAGTTGAAGATTCCTTTTGAAACATCAGTTTCGAAACACTCTTTCTGTGGGATCCGCAAGGGGATATTTGGACCTCTTTGAAGGTTTCGTTGGAAACGGGATAATCTTCACCTAAAAGCTAAACGGAAGCATTCTCAGAAACTTCTTTGGGATGTTTGCATTCACCTCACAGAGTTGAACTTTCCCTTTGATAGCGCAGCTTTGACACACTTTTTCTACAATGTGCAAGTGGCTATTTAGCGGGCTTGGAGGACTGTGTTGGAAAAGGAAATATCTTCTCCTAAAAACGACATAGAAGCATTCTCAGAAACTGCTCTGTGATGATTGCATTCAACTCCCAGAGTTGAACATTCCTTTTGATAGAGCAGTTTGCAAACACTCTTTTTGTAGAATCTGCAAGTGGAGATTTGGACCGCTTTGAGGCCTGTGGTAGTGAAGGAAAGAACTTCATATAAAAACCAGACGGTAGCACTCTCAGAAAATTCTTTGTGACGATGGAGTTTAACTCAGGGAGCTGAACATTCGTTATGATGGAGCAGTTTCCAAACACACGTTTTGTAGAATCTGCAAGGGGATATTTGGACCTCTCTGAGGATTTCGTTGGAAACGGGATCAACTTCCCATAACTGAACGGAAGCAAACTCAGAACATTCTTTGTGATGTTTGTATTCAACTCACAGAGTTGAACCTTCCTTTGATAGTTCAGGTTTGCAACACCCTTGTAGTAGAATCTGCAAGTGTATATTTTGACCACTTTGTAGCCTTCGTTTGAAACGTCTATATCTTCACATCAAACCTAGACAGAAGCATTCTCAGAAAGTTTTCTGCGATGACTGCATTCAACTCACAGAGTTGAACAATCCTTCTGATGGAGCAGTTTTGAAACCCTCTTTCTTTGCAATCTGCAAGGGGATATGTGGACCTCTTTGAAGATTTCACTGGAAACGGGATCATCTTCACATAAAAACTAAACAGAAGCATTCTCGGAAACTACTTTGTGATGTTTGTATTCAACTACCAGAGTTGAACTTTCCTTTTGAAAGAGCAGCTATGAAACACTCTTTTTCGAGAATCTGCAAGTGGACGTTTGGAGGGCTTTGAGGCCTGTGGTGGAAAAGGAAATATCTTCACATAAAAACTAGATAGAAGCATTCTCAGAAACTACTTTGTGAGGATGGCATTCAACTCATGGAGTTGAACAATCCTATTGATAGAGCAGATTGGAATCACTCTTTTTGTAGAATCTGCAAATGGAGATTTGGACTGCTTTGAGGCCTACGGTCGTATAGGAAGGAACTTCATATAAAAGGCAAACGGAAGCATTCTCAGAATATTCTTTGTGATGATGGAGTTTCACTCACAGAGCTGAACATGCCTTTTGATGGAGCAGTTTCCAAATACACTTTTGGTAGAATCTGCAGGTGGATATTTGGAGCTCTCTGAGGATTTCGTTGGAAACGGGAATAATTTCCCATAACTAAACACAAACACTCTGTGAAAGTTCTTCATGATGAATGCATTTAACTCGCAGAGATGAACCTGCCTTTGAGAGTTCAGGTTCGAAACACTCTTTCTGTAGAATCTGCAAGTGGATATTTGGACCACTGGCTGGCCTTCGTTCGAAACGGGTATATGTTCACGTAAAAACTAAAGAGAAGCATTCTCAGAAACTTCTGAGTGATGATTGCATTCAAGTCACACAGTTGAACCCTCCTTTTGATGGAGCAGTTTTGAAACTGTCTTTTTGTAGAATCTGTAAGTGGATACGTGGACCTCTTTGAAGATTTCTTTGGAAACGGGAATATTTCCACAGAAAAACTAAACTGAAGCATTCTCAGAAACCGCTTTGTGATGTTTGTGTTCGAGCCACAGAGTTTAACATTGCTTTTCATAGAGCAGTTTTGAAATATTCTTTTCGCAGAATCTGCAAGTGGACATTTGGAGCGCTTTCAGGCCTGTGGTGGAAAAGGCCTGAAAGCCTTTTCCTTTATCTTCACAGAAAGACGAGAGAGAAGCATTGTCAGAAACTTCTTTGTGATGATTGCATTCAACTCACAGAGTTGAAGATTCCTTTTGAAACAGCAGTTTCGAAACACTCTTTCTGTGGGATCCGCAAGGGGATATTTGGACCTCTTTGAAGGTTTCGTTGGAAACGGGATAATCTTCACCTAAAAGCTAAACGGAAGCATTCTCAGAAACTTCTTTGGGATGTTTGCATTCACCTCACAGAGTTGAACTTTCCCTTTGATAGCGCAGCTTTGACACACTTTTTCTACAATGTGCAAGTGGCTATTTAGCGGGCTTGGGGGACTGTGTTGGAAAAGGAAATATCTTCTCCTAAAAACGACATAGAAGCATTCTCAGAAACTGCTCTGTGATGATTGCATTCAACTCCCAGAGTTGAACATTCCTTTTGATAGAGCAGTTTGCAAACACTCTTTTTGTAGAATCTGCAAGTGGAGATTTGGACCGCTTTGAGGCCTGTGGTAGTGAAGGAAAGAACTTCATATAAAAACCAGACGGTAGCACTCTCAGAAAATTCTTTGTGACGATGGAGTTTAACTCAGGGAGCTGAACATTCGTTATGATGGAGCAGTTTCCGAACACACGTTTTGTAGAATCTGCAAGGGGATATTTGGACCTCTCTGAGGATTTCATTGGAAACGGGATCAACTTCCCATAACTGAACGGAAGCAAACTCAGAACATTCTTTGTGATGTTTGTATTCAACTCCCAGAGTTGAAATTTCCTTTTGAAAGAGCAGCTATGAAACACTCTTTTTCGAGAATCTGCAAGTGGACGTTTGGAGGGCTTTGAGGCCTGTGGTGGAAAAGGAAATATCTTCACATAAAAACTAGATAGAAGCATTCTCAGAAACTACTTTGTGAGGATGGCATTCAACTCATGGAGTTGAACAATCCTATTGATAGAGCAGATTGGAATCACTCTTTTTGTAGAATCTGCAAATGGAGATTTGGACTGCTTTGAGGCCTACAGTAGTACAGGAAGGAACTTCATATAAAAGGCAAACGGAAGCATTCTCAGAATATTCTTTGTGATGATGGAGTTTCACTCACAGAGCTGAACATGCCTTTTGATGGAGCAGTTTCCAAATACACTTTTGGTAGAATCTGCAGGTGGATATTTGGAGCTGCTCTGAGGATTTCGTTGGAAACGGGAATAATTTCCCATAACTAAACACAACACTCTGAGAAAGTTCTTCATGATGAATGCATTTAACTCGCAGAGATGAACCTGCCTTTGAGAGTTCAGGTTCGAAACACTCTTTCTGTAGAATCTGCAAGTGGATATTTGGACCACTGGCTGGCCTTCGTTCGAAACGGGTATATGTTCACGTAAAAACTAAAGAGAAGCATTCTCAGAAACTTCTGAGTGATGATTGCATTCAAGTCACACGGTTGAACCCTCCTTTTGATTGAGCAGTTTTGAAACTGTCTTTTTGTAGAATCTGTAAGAGGACACGTGGACATCTTTGAAGATTTCTTTGGAAACGGGAATATTTCCACAGAAAAACTAAACTGAAGCATTCTCAGAAACTGCTTTGTGATGTTTGTGTTCGAGCCGCAGAGTTTAACATTGCTTTTCATAGAGCAGTTTTCAAATATTCTTTTGGCAGAATCTGCAAGTGGACATTTGGAGCGCTTTCAGGCCTGTGGTGGAAAAGGCCTGAAAGCCTTTTCCTTTATCTTCACAGAAAGACGAGAGAGAAGCATTGTCAGAAACTTCTTTGTGAAGATTGCATTCAACTCACAGAGTTGAAGATTCCTTTTGAAACAGCAGTTTCGAAACACTCTTTCTGTGGGATCTGCAAGGGGATATTTGGACCTCTTTGAAGATTTCGTTGGAAACAGGATAATCTTCACCTAAAAGCTAAACGGAAGCATTCTCAGAAACTTCTTTGGGATGTTTGCATTCACCTCACAGAGTTGAACTTTCCCTTTGATAGCGCAGCTTCGACACACTTTTTCTACAATGTGCAAGTGGATATTTAGCGGGCTTGGAGGACTGTGTTGGAAAAGGAAATATCTTCTCCTAAAAACGACATAGAAGCATTCTCAGAAACTGCTCTGTGATGATTGCATTCAACTCCCAGAGTTGAACATTCCTTTTGATAGAGCAGTTTGCAAACACTGTTTTTGTAGAATCTGCAAGTGGAGACTTGGATCGCTTTGAGGCCTGTGGTAGTAAAGGAAAGAACTTCATATAAAAACCAGACGGTAGCACTCTCAGAAAATTCTTTGTGACGATGGAGTTTAACTCAGAGAGCTGAACATTCGTTATGATGGAGCAGTTTCCAAACACACGTTTTGTAGAATCTGCAAGGGGATATTTGGAACTCTCTGAGGATTTCGTTGGAAACGGGATCAACTTCCCATAACTGAACGGAAGCAAACTCAGAACATTCTTTGTGATGTTTGTATTCAACTCACAGAGTTGAACCTTCCTTTGATAGTTCAGGTTTGCAACACCCTTGTAGTAGAATCTGCAAGTGTATATTTTGACCACTTTGTAGCCTTCGTTTGAAACGTCTATATCTTCACCTCAAACCTAGACAGAAGCATTCTCAGAAAGTTTTCTGCGATGACAGCATTCAACTCACAGAGTTGAACAATCCTTTTGATGGAGCAGTTTTGAATCCCTCTTTCTTTGGAATCTGCAAGGGGATATGTGGACCTCTTTGAAGATTTCACTGGAAACGGGATCATCTTCACATAAGAACTAAACAGAAGCATTCTCGGAAACTACTTTGTGATGTTTGTATTCAACTCCCAGAGTTGAACTTTCCTTTTGAAAGAGCAGCTATGAAACACTCTTTTTCGAGAATCTGCAAGTGGACGTTTGGAGGGCTTTGAGGCCTGTGGTGGAAAAGGAAATATCTTCACATAAAAACTAGATAGAAGCATTCTCAGAAACGACTTTGTGAGGATGGCATTCAACTCATGGAGTTGAACAATCCTATTGATAGAGCAGATTGGAATCACTCTTTTTGTAGAATCTGCAAATGGAGATTTGCACTGCTTTGAGGCCTACGGTCGTATAGGAAGGAACTTCATATAAAAGGCAAACGGAAGCATTCTCAGAATATTCTTTGTGATGATGGAGTTTCACTCACAGAGCTGAACATGCCTGTTGATGGAGCAGTTTCCAAATACACTTTTGGTAGAATCTGCAGGTGGACATTTGCACCTCTCTGAGGATTTCGTTGGGAACGGGAATAATTTCCCATAACTAAACACAAACACGCTGAGAAAGTTCTTCATGATGAATGCATTTAACTCGCAGAGATGAACCTGCCTTTGAGAGTTCAGGTTCGAAACACTCTTTCTGTAGAATCTGCAAGTGGACATTTGGACCACTGGGTGGCCTTCGTTCGAAACGGGTATATGTTCACGTAAAAACTAAAGAGAAGCATTCTCAGAAACTTCTGAGTGATGATTGCATTCAAGTCACACAGTTGAACCCTCCTTTTGATTGAGCAGTTTTGAAACTGTCTTTTTGTAGAATCTGTAAGTGGATACGTGGACCTCTTTGAAGATTTCTTTGGAAACGGGAATATTTCCACAGAAAAACTAAACTGAAGCATTCTCAGAGACCGCTTTGTGACGTTTGTGTTCGAGCCACAGAGTTTAACATTGCTTTTCATAGAGCAGTTTTGAAATATTCTTTTGGCAGAATCTGCAAGTGGACATTTGGAGCGCTTTCAGGCCTGTGGTGGCAAAGGCCTGAACGCCTTTTCCTTTATGTTCACAGAAAGACGAGAGAGAAGCATTGTCAGAAACTTCTTTGTGATGATTGCATTCAACTCACAGAGTTGAAGATTCCTTTTGAAACAGCAGTTTCGAAACACTCTTTCTGTGGGATCCGCAAGGGGATATTTGGACCTCTTTGAAGCTTTCGTTGGAAACGGGATAATCTTCACCTAAAAGCTAAACGGAAGCATTCTCAGAAACTTCTTTGGGATGTTTGCATTCACCTCACAGAGTTGAACTTTCCCTTTGATAGCGCAGCTTCGACACACTTTTTCTACAATGTGCAAGTGGCTTTTAAGCGGGCTTGGAAGACTGTGTTGGAAAAGGAAATATCTTCTCCTAAAAACGACATAGAAGCATTCTCAGAAACTGCTCTGTGATGATTGCATTCAATTCCCAGAGTTGAACATTCCTTTTGATAGAGCAGTTTGCAGACACTCTTTTTGTAGAATCTGCAAGTGGAGATTTGGACCGCTTTGAGGCCTGTGGTAGTAAAGGAAAGAACTTCATATAAAAACTAGACGGTAGCACTCTCAGAAAATTCTTTGTGACGATGGAGTTTAACTCAGGGAGCTGAACATTCGTTATGATGGAGCAGTTTCCAAACACACGTTTTGAAGAATCTGCAAGGGGATATTTGGACCTCTCTGAGGATTTCGTTGTAAACGGGATCAACTTCCCATAACTGAACGGAAGCAAACTCAGAACATTCTTTGCGATGTTTGTATTCAACCCACAGAGTTGAACCTTCCTTTGATAGTTCAGGTTTGCAACACCCTTGTAGTAGAATCTGTAAGTGTATGTTTTGACCACTTTGTAGCCTTCGTTTTAAACGTCTATAACTTCACAACAAACCTAGACAGAAAGCATTCTCAGAAAGTTTTCTGCGATGACTGCATTCAACTCACAGAGTTGAACAATCCTTCTGATGGAGCAGTTTTGAAACCCTCTTTCTTTGGAATCTGCAAGGGGATATGTGGACCTCTTTGAAGATTTCACTGGAAACGGGATCATCTTCACATAAAAACTAAACAGAGCATTCTCGGAAACTACTTTGTGATGTTTGTATTCAACTGCCAGAGTTGAACTTTCCTTTTGAAAGAGCAGCTATGAAACACTCTTTTTCGAGAATCTGCAAGTGGACGTTTGGAGGGCTTTGAGGCCTGTGGTGGAAAAGGAAATATCTTCACATAAAAACTAGATAGAAGCATTCTCAGAAACTACTTTGTGAGGATGGCATTCAACTCATGGAGTTGAACAATCCTATTGATAGAGCAGATTGGAATCACTCTTTTTGTAGAATCTGCAAATGGAGATTTGGACTGCTTTGAGGCCTACGGTCGTATAGGAAGGAACTTCATATAAAAGGCAAACGGAAGCATTCTCAGAATATTCTTTGTGATGATGGAGTTTCACTCACAGAGCTGAACATGCCTTTTGATGGAGCAGTTTCCAAATACACTTTTGGTAGAATCTGCAGGTGGATATTTGGAGCTCTCTGAGGATTTCGTTGGAAACGGGAATAATTTCCCATAACTAAACACAAACACTCTGAGAAAGTTCTTCATGATGAATGCATTTAACTCGCAGAGATGAACCTGCCTTTGAGAGTTCAGGTTCGAAACACTCTTTCTGTAGAATCTGCAAGTGGATATTTGGACCACTGGCTGGCCTTCGTTCGAAACGGGTATATGTTCACGTAAAAACTAAAGAGAAGCATTCTCAGAAACTTCTGAGTGATGATTGCATTCAAGTCACACAGTTGAACCCTCCTTTTGATGGAGCAGTTTTGAAACTGTCTTTTTGTAGAATCTGTAAGTGGATAAGTGGACCTCTTTGAAGATTTCTTTGGAAACGGGAATATTTCCACAGAAAAACTAAACTGAAGCATTCTCAGAAACCGCTTTGTGATGTTTGTGTTCGAGCCACAGAGTTTAACATTGCTTTTCATAGAGCAGTTTTGAAATATTCTTTTGGCAGAATCTGCAAGTGGACATTTGGAGCGCTTTCAGGCCTGTGGTGGAAAAGGCCTGAAAGCCTTTTCCTTTATCTTCACAGAAAGACGAGAGAGAAGCATTGTCAGAAACTTCTTTGGGATGATTGCATTCAACTCACAGAGTTGAAGATTCCTTTTGAAACAGCAGTTTCGAAACACTCTTTCTGTGGGATCCGCAAGGGGATATTTGGACCTCTTTGAAGGTTTCGTTGGAAACGGGATAATCTTCACCTAAAAGCTAAACGGAAGCATTCTCAGAAACTTCTTTGGGATGTTTGCATTCACCTCACACAGTTGAACTTTCCCTTTGATAGCGCAGCTTTGACACACTTTTTCTACAATGTGCAAGTGGCTATTTAGCGGGCTTGGAGGACTGTGTTGGAAAAGGAAATATCTTCTCCTAAAAACGACATAGAAGCATTCTCAGAAACTGCTCTGTGATGATTGCATTCAACTCCCAGAGTTGAACATTCCTTTTGATAGAGCAGTTTGCAAACACTCTTTTTGTAGAATCTGCAAGTGGAGATTTGGACCGCTTTGAGGCCTGTGGTAGTGAAGGAAAGAGCTTCATATAAAAACCAGACGGTAGCACTCTCAGAAAATTCTTTGTGACGATGGAGTTTAACTCAGGGAGCTGAACATTCGTTATGATGGAGCAGTTTCCAAACACACGTTTTGTAGAATCTGCAAGGGGATATTTGGACCTCTCTGAGGATTTCGTTGGAAACGGGATCAACATCCCATAACTGAACGGAAGCAAACTCAGAACATTCTTTGTGATGTTTGTATTCAACTCACAGAGTTGAACCTTCCTTTGATAGTTCAGGTTTGCAACACCCTTGTAGTAGAATCTGCAAGTGTATATTTTGACCACTTTGTAGCCTTCGTTTGAAACGTCTATATCTTCACATCAAACCTAGACAGAAGCATTCTCAGAAAGTTTTCTGCGATGACTGCATTCAACTCACAGAGTTGAACAATCCTTCTGATGGAGCAGTTTTGAAACCCTCTTTCTTTGGAATCTGCAAGGGGATATGTGGACCTCTTTGAAGATTTCACTGGAAACGGGATCATCTTCACATAAAAACTAAACAGAAGCATTCTCGGAAACTACTTTGTGATGTTTGTATTCAACTCCCAGAGTTGAACTTTCCTTTTGAAAGAGCAGCTATGAAACACTGTTTTTCGAGAATCTGCAGGTGGACGTTTGGAGGGCTTTGAGGCCTGTGGTGGAAAAGGAAATATCTTCACATAAAAACTAGATAGAAGCATTCTCAGAAACGACTTTGTGAGGATGGCATTCAACTCATGGAGTTGAACAATCCTATTGATAGAGCAGATTGGAATCACTCTTTTTGTAGAATCTGCAAATGGAGATTTGGACTGCTTTGAGGCCTACGGTCGTATAGGAAGGAACTTCATATAAAAGGCAAACGGAAGCATTCTCAGAATATTCTTTGTGATGATGGAGTTTCACTCACAGAGCTGAACATGCCTTTTGATGGAGCAGTTTCCAAATACACTTTTGGTAGAATCTGCAGGTGGATATTTGGAGCTCTCTGAGGATTTCGTTGGAAACGGGAATAATTTCCCATAACTAAACACAAACACTCTGAGAAAGTTCTTCATGATGAATGCATTTAACTCGCAGAGATGAACCTGCCTTTGAGAGTTCAGGTTCGAAACACTCTTTCTGTAGAATCTGCAAGTGGATATTTGGACCACTGGGTGGCCTTCGTTCGAAACGGGTATATGTTCACGTAAAAACTAAAGAGAAGCATTCTCAGAAACTTCTGAGTGATGATTGCATTCAAGTCACACAGTTGAACCCTCCTTTTGATGGAGCAGTTTTGAAACTGTCTTTTTGTAGAATCTGTAAGTGGATACGTGGACCTCTTTGAAGATTTCTTTGAAACGGGAATATTTCCACAGAAAAACTAAACTGAAGCATTCTCAGAAACTGCTTTGTGATGTTTGTGTTCGAGCCACAGAGTTTAACATTGCTTTTCATAGATCAGTTTTGAAATATTCTTTTCGCAGAATCTGCAAGTGGACATTTGGAGCGCTTTCAGGCCTGTGGTGGAAAAGGCCTGAAAGCCTTTTCCTTTATCTTCACAGAAAGACGAGAGAGAAGCATTGTCAGAAACTTCTTTGTGATGATTGCATTCAACTCACAGAGTTGAAGATTCCTTTTGAAACAGCAGTTTCGAAACACTCTTTCTGTGGGATCCGCAAGGGGATATTTGGACCTCTTTGAAGGTTTCGTTGGAAACGGGATAATCCTCACCTAAAAGCTAAACGGGAAGCATTCTCAGAAACTTCTTTTGGATGTTTGCATTCACCTCAGAGAGTTGAATTTTCCCTTTGATAGCGCAGCTTCGACACACTTTTTCTACAATGTGCAAGTGGATATTTAGCGGGCTTGGAGGACTGTGTTGGAAAAGGAAATATCTTCTCCTAAAAACGACATAGAAGCATTCTCAGAAACTGCTCTGTGATGATTGCATTCAACTCCCAGAGTTGAACATTCCTTTTGATAGAGCAGTTTGCAAACACTCTTTTTGTAGAATCTGCAAGTGGAGATTTGGACCGCTTTGAGGCCTGTGGTAGTAAAGGAAACAACTTCATATAAAAACCAGACGGTAGCACTCTCAGAAAATTCTTTGTGACGATGGAGTTTAACTCAGAGAGCTGAACATCCGTTATGATGGAGCAGTTTCCAAACACACGTTTTGTAGAATCTGCAAGGGGATATTTGGACCTCTCTGAGGATTTCGTTGGAAACGGGATCAACTTCCCATAACTGAACGGAAGCAAACTCAGAACATTCTTTGTGATGTTTGTATTCAACTCACAGAGTTGAACCTTCCTTTGATAGTTGAGGTTTGCATCACCCTTGTAGTAGAATCTGCAAGTGTATATTTTGACCACTTTGTAGCCTTCGTTTGAAACGTCTATATCTTCACATCAAACCTAGACAGAAGCATTCTCAGAAAGTTTTCTGCGATGACTGCATTCAACTCACAGAGTTGCACAATCCTTTTGATGGAGCAGTTTTGAAACCCTCTTTCTTTGGAATCTGCAAGGGGATATATGGACCTCTTTGAAGATTTCACTGGAAACGGGATCATCTTCACATAACAACTAAACAGAAGCATTCTCGGAAACTACTTTGTGATGTTTGTATTCAACTCCCAGAGTTGAACTTTCCTTTTGAAAGAGCAGCTATGAAACACTCTTTTTCGAGAATCTGCAAGTGGACGTTTGGAGGGCTTTGAGGCCTGTGGTGGAAAAGGAAATATCTTCACATAAAAACTAGATAGAAGCATTCTCAGAAACGACTTTGTGAGGATGGCATTCAACTCATGGAGTTGAACAATCCTATTGATAGAGCAGATTGGAATCACTCTTTTTGTAGAATCTGCAAATGGAGATTTGGACTGCTTTGAGGCCTACGGTCGTATAGGAAGGAACTTCATATAAAAGGCAAACGGAAGCATTCTCAGAATATTCTTTGTGATGATGGAGTTTCACTCACAGAGCTGAACATGCCTTTTGATGGAGCAGTTTCCAAATACACTTTTGGTAGAATCTGCAGGTGGATATTTGGAGCTCTCTGAGGATTTCGTTGGAAACGGGAATAATTTCCCATAACTAAACACAAACACTCTGAGAAAGTTCTTCATGATGAATGCATTTAACTCGCAGAGATGAACCTGCCTTTGAGAGTTCAGGTTCGAAACACTCTTTCTGTAGAATCTGCAAGTGGATATTTGGACCACTGGGTGGCCTTCGTTCGAAACGGGTATATGTTCACGTAAAAACTAAAGAGAAGCATTCTCAGAAACTTCTGAGTGATGATTGCATTCAAGTCACACAGTTGAACCCTCCTTTTGATGGAGCAGTTTTGAAACTGTCTTTTTGTAGAATCTGTAAGTGGATACGTGGACCTCTTTGAAGATTTCTTTGGAAACGGGAATATTTCCACAGAAAAACTAAACTGAAGCATTCTCAGAAACCGCTTTGTGATGTTTGTGTTCGAGCCACAGAGTTTAACATTGCTTTTCATAGAGCAGTTTTGAAATATTCTTTTGGCAGAATCTGCAAGTGGACATTTGGAGCGCTTTCAGGCCTGTGGTGGAAAAGGCCTGAAAGCCTTTTCCTTTATCTTCACAGAAAGACGAGAGAGAAGCATTGTCAGAAACTTCTTTGTGATGATTGCATTCAACTCACAGAGTTGAAGATTCCTTTTGAAACAGCAGTTTCGAAACACTCTTTCTGTGGGATCCGCAAGGGGATATTTGGACCTCTTTGAAGGTTTCGTTGGAAACGGGATAATCTTCACCTAAAAGCTAAACGGAAGCATTCTCAGAAACTTCTTTGGGATGTTTGCATTCACCTCACAGAGTTGAACTTTCCCTTTGATAGCGCAGCTTCGACACACTTTTTCTAAAGTGTGCAAGTGGACCTTTAGCGGGCTTGGAGGACTGTGTTGGAAAAGGAAATATCTTCTCCTAAAAACGACATAGAAGCATTCTCAGAAACTGCTCTGTGATGATTGCATTCAACTCCCAGAGTTGAACATTCCTTTTGATAGAGCAGTTTGCAAACACTGTTTTTGTAGAATCTGCAAGTGGAGATTTGGACCGCTTTGAGGCCTGTGGTAGTAAAGGAAAGAACTTCATATAAAAACCAGACGGTAGCACTCTCAGAAAATTCTTTGTGACGATGGAGTTTAACTCAGAGAGCTGAACATTCGTTATGATGGAGCAGTTTCCAAACACACGTTTTGTAGAATCTGCAAGGGGATATTTGGACCTCTCTGAGGATTTCGTTGGAAACGGGATCAACTTCCCATAACTGAACGGAAGCAAACTCAGAGCATTCTTTGCGATGTTTGTATTCAACTCACAGAGTTGAACCTTCCTTTGATAGTTCAGGCTTGCAACACCCTTGTAGTAGAATCTGCAAGTGTATATTTTGACCACTTTGTAGCCTTCGTTTGAAACGTCTATATCTTCACATCAAACCTAGACAGAAGCATTCTCAGAAAGTTTTCTGCGATGACTGCATTCAACTCACAGAGTTGAACAATCCTTTTGATGGAGCAGTTTTGAAACCCTCTTTCTTTGGAATCTGCAAGGGGATATGTGGACCTCTTTGAAGATTTCACTGGAAACGGGATCATCTTCACATAAGAACTAAACAGAAGCATTCTCGGAAACTACTTTGTGATGTTTGTATTCAACTCCCAGAGTTGAACTTTCCTTTTGAAAGAGCAGCTATGAAACACTCTTTTTCGAGAATCTGCAAGTGGACGTTTGGAGGGCTTTGAGGCCTGTGGTGGAAAAGGAAATATCTTCACATAAAAACTACATAGAAGCATTCTCAGAAACTACTTTGTGAGGATGGCATTCAACTCATGGAGTTGAACAATCCTATTGATAGAGCAGATTGGAATCACTCTTTTTGTAGAATCTGCAAATGGAGATTTGGACTGCTTTGAGGCCTACGGTAGTATAGGAGGGAACTTCATATAAAAGGCAAACTGAAGCATTCTCAGAATATTCTTTGTGATGACGGAGTTTCACTCACAGAGCTGAACATGCCTTTTCATGGAGCAGTTTCCAAATACACTTTTGGTAGAATCTGCAGGTGGATATTTGGAGCTCTCTGAGGATTTCGTTGGAAACGGGAATAATTTCCCATAACTAAACACAAACACGCTGAGAAAGTTCTTCATGATGAATGCATTTAACTCGCAGAGATGAACCTGCCTTTGAGAGTTCAGGTTCAAAACACTCTTTCTGTAGAATCTGCAAGTGGATATTTGGACCACTGGCTGGCCTTCGTTCGAAACGGGTATATGTTCACGTAAAAACTAAAGAGAAGCGTTCTCAGAAACTTCTGAGTGATGAATGCATTCAAGTCACACAGTTGAACCCTCCTTTTGATTGAGCAGTTTTTAAACTGTCTTTTTGTAGAATCTGTAAGTGGATGCGTGGACCTCTTTGAAGATTTCTTTGGAAACGGGAATATTTCCACAGAAAAACTAAACTGAAGCATTCTCAGAAACTGCTTTGTGATGTTTGTGTTCGAGCCGCAGAGTTTAACATTGCTTTTCATAGAGCAGTTTTGAAATATTCTTTTGGCAGAATCTGCAAGTGGACATTTGGAGCGCTTTCAGGCCTGTGGTGGAAAAGGCCTGAAAGCCTTTTCCTTTATCTTCACAGAAAGACGAGAGAGAAGCATTGTCAGAAACTTCTTTGTGATGATTGCATTCAACTCACAGAGTTGAAGATTCCTTTTGAAACAGCAGTTTCGAAACACTCTTTCTGTGGGATCCGCAAGGGGATATTTGGACCTCTTTGAAGATTTCGTTGGAAACGGGATAATCTTCACTTAAAGCTAAACGGAAGCATTCTCAGAAACTTCTTTGGGATGTTTGCATTCACCTCACAGAGTTGAACTTTCCCTTTGATAGCGCAGCTTCGACACACTTTTTCTACAATGTGCAAGTGGATATTTAGCGGGCTTGGAGGACTGTGTTGGAAAAGGAAATATCTTCTCCTAAAAACGACATAGAAGCATTCTCAGAAACTGCTCTGTGATGATTGCATTCAACTCCCAGAGTTGAACATTCCTTTTGATAGAGCAGTTTGCAAACACTCTTTTTGTAGAATCTGCAAGTGGAGATTTGGACCGCTTTGAGGCCTGTGGTAGTAAAGGAAAGAACTTCATATAAAAACTAGACGGTAGCACCCTCAGAAAATTCTTTGTGACGATGGAGTTTAACTCAGAGAGCTGAACATTCGTTATGATGGAGCAGTTTCCAAACACACGTTTTGTAGAATCTGCAAGGGGATATTTGGACCTCTCTGAGGATTTCGTTGGAAACGGGATCAACTTCCCATAGCTGAACGGAAGCAAACTCAGAACATTCTTTGTGATGTTTGTATTCAACTCACAGAGTTGAACCTTCCTTTGATAGTTCAGGTTTGCATCACCCTTGTAGTAGAATCTGCAAGTGTATATTTTGACCACTTTGTAGCGTTCGTTTGAAACGTCTATATCTTCACATCAAACCTAGACAGAAGCATTCTCAGAAAGTTTTCTGCGATGACTGCATTCAACTCACAGAGTTGAACAATCCTTTTGATGGAGCAGTTTTGAAACCCTCTTTCTTTGGAATCTGCAAGGGGATATGTGGACCTCTTTGAAGGTTTCACTGGAAACGGGATCATCTTCACATAAGAACTAAACAGAAGCATTCTCGGAAACTACTTTGTGATGTTTGTATTCAACTCCCAGAGTTGAACTTTCCTTTTGAAAGAGCAGCTATGAAACACACTTTTTCGAGAATCTGCAAGTGGACGTTTGGAGGGCTTTGAGGCCTGTGGTGGAAAAGGAAATATCTTCACATGAAAACTAGATAGAAGCATTCTCAGAAAAGGCTTTGTGAGGATGGCATTCAACTCATGGAGTTGAACAATCCTATTGATAGAGCAGATTGGAATCACTCTTTTTGTAGAATCTGCAAATGGAGATTTGGACTGCTTTGAGGCCTACGGTAGTATAGGAAGGAACTTCATATAAAAGGCAAACGGAAGCATTCTCAGAATATTCTTTGTGATGATGGAGTTTCACTCACAGAGCTGAACATGCCTTTTGATGGAGCAGTTTCCAAATAAACTATTGGTAGAATCTGCAGGTGGATATTTGGACCTCTCTGAGGATTTCGTTGGAAACGGGAATAATTTCCCATAACTAAACACAAACACGCTGAGAAAGTTCTTCATGATGAATGCATTTAACTCGCAGAGATGAACCTGCCTTTGAGAGTTCAGGTTCGAAACACTCTTTCTGTAGAATCTGCAAGTGGATATTTGGACCACTGGGTGGCCTTCGTTCGAAACGGGTATATGTTCACGTAAAAACTAAAGAGAAGCGTTCTCAGAAACTTCTGAGTGATGATTGCATTCAAGTCACACAGTTGAACCCTCCTTTTGATTGAGCAGTTTTGAAACTGTCTTTTTGTAGAATCTGTAAGTGGATGCGTGGACCTCTTTGAAGATTTCTTTGGAAACGGGAATATTTCCACAGAAAAACTAAACTGAAGCATTCTCAGAAACTGCTTTGTGATGTTTGTGTTCGAGCCACAGAGTTTAACATTGCTTTTCATAGAGCAGTTTTGAAATATTCTTTTGGCAGAATCTGCAAGTGGACATTTGGAGCGCTTTCAGGCCTGTGGTGGAAAAGGCCTGAAAGCCTTTTCCTTTATCTTCACAGAAAGACGAGAGAGAAGCATTGTCAGAAACTTCTTTGTGATGATTGCATTCAACTCACAGAGTTGAAGATTCCTTTTGAAACAGCAGTTTCGAAACACTCTTTCTGTGGGATCCGCAAGGGGATATTTGGACTTCTTTGAAGATTTCGTTGGAAACGGGATAATCTTCACCTAAAAGCTAAACGGAAGCATTCTCAGAAACTTCGTTGGGATGTTTGTATTCACCTCACAGAGTTGAACTTTCCCTTTGATAGCGCAGCTTCGACACTCTTTTTCTACAATGTGCAAGTGGCTATTTAGCGGGCTTGGAGGACTGTGTTGGAAAAGGAAATATCTTCTCCTAAAAACGACATAGAAGCATTCTCAGAAACTGCTCTGTGATGATTGCATTCAACTCCCAGAGTTGAACATTCCTTTTGATAGAGCAGTTTGCAAACACTCTTTTTGTAGAATCTGCAAGTGGAGATTTGGACCGCTTTGAGGCCTGTGGTAGTAAAGCAAAGAACTTCATATAAAAACTAGACGGTAGCACTCTCAGAAAATTCTTTGTGACGATGGAGTTTAACTCAGAGAGCTGAACATTCGTTATGATGGAGCAGTTTCCAAACACACGTTTTGTAGAATCTGCAAGGGGATATTTGGACCTCTCTGAGGATTTCGTTGGAAACGGGATCAACTTCCCATAACTGAACGGAAGCAAACTCAGAACATTCTTTGTGATGTTTGCATTCGTCTCACAGAGTTGAACCTTCCTTTGATAGTTGAGGTTTGCAACACCCTTGTAGTAGAATCTGCAAGTGTATATTTTGACCACTTTGTAGCCTTCGTTTGAAACGTCTATATCTTCACATCAAACCTAGACAGAAGCATTCTCAGAAAGTTTTCTGCGATGACTGCATTCAACTCACAGAGTTGAACAATCCTTTTGATGGAGCAGTTTTGAAACCCTCTTTCTTTGGAATCTGCAAGGGGATATGTGGACCTCTTTGAAGATTTCACTGGAAACGGGATCATCTTCACATAAGAACTAAACAGAAGCATTCTCGGAAACTACTTTGTGATGTTTGTATTCACCTCCCAGAGTTGAACTTTCCTTTTGAAAGAGCAGCTATGAAACACTCTTTTTCTAGAATCTGCAAGTGGACGTTTGGAGGGCTTTGAGGCCTGTGGTGGAAAAGGAAATATCTTCACATAAAAACTAGATAGAAGCATTCTCAGAAACTACTTTGTGAGGATGGCATTCAACTCATGGAGTTGAACAATCCTATTGATAGAGCAGATTGGAATCACTCTTTTTGTAGAATCTGCAAATGGAGATTTGGACTGCTTTGAGGCCTACGGTAGTATAGGAAGGAACTTCATATAAAAGGCAAACGGAAGCATTCTCAGAATATTCTTTGTGATGATGGAGTTTCCCTCACAGAGCTGAACATGCCTTTTGATGGAGCAGTTTCCAAATACACTTTTGGTAGAATCTGCAGGTGGATATTTGGACCTCTCTGAGGATTTCGTTGGAAACGGGAATAATTTCCCATAATTAAACACAAACACGCTGAGAAAGTTCTTCATGATGAATGCATTTAACTCGCAGAGATGAACCTGCCTTTGAGAGTTCAGGTTCGAAACACTCTTTCTGTAGAATCTGCAAGTGGATATTTGGACCACTGGCTGGCCTTCGTTCGAAACGGGTATATGTTCACGTAAAAACTAAAGAGAAGCGTTCTCAGAAACTTCTGAGTGATGATTGCATTCAAGTCACACAGTTGAACCCTCCTTTTGATTGAGCAGTTTTGAAACTGTCTTTTTGTAGAATCTGTAAGTGGATGCGTGGACCTCTTTGAAGATTTCTTTGGAAACGGGAATATTTCCACAGAAAAACTAAACTGAAGCATTCTCAGAAACTGCTTTGTGATGTTTGTGTTCGAGCCGCAGAGTTTAACATTGCTTTTCATAGAGCAGTTTTGAAATATTCTTTTGGCAGAATCTGCAAGTGGACATTTGGAGCGCTTTCAGGCCTGTGGTGGAAATGGCCTGAAAGCCTTTTCCTTTATCTTCACAGAAAGACGAGAGAGAAGCATTGTCAGAAACTTCTTTGTGATGATTGCATTCAACTCACAGAGTTGAAGATTCCTTTTGAAACAGCAGTTTCGAAACACTCTTTCTGTGGGATCCGCAAGGGGATATTTGGACCTCTTTGAAGATTTCGTTGGAAACGGGATAATCTTCACTTAAAGCTAAACGGAAGCATTCTCAGAAACTTCTTTGGGATGTTTGCATTCACCTCACAGAGTTGAACTTTCCCTTTGATAGCGCAGCTTCGACACACTTTTTCTACAATGTGCAAGTGGATATTTAGCGGGCTTGGAGGACTGTGTTGGAAAAGGAAATATCTTCTCCTAAAAACGACATAGAAGCATTCTCAGAAACTGCTCTGTGATGATTGCATTCAACTCCCAGAGTTGAACATTCCTTTTGATAGAGCAGTTTGCAAACACTCTTTTTGTAGAATCTGCAAGTGGAGATTTGGACCGCTTTGAGGCCTGTGGTAGTAAAGCAAAGAACTTCATATAAAAAGTAGACGGTAGCACTCTCAGAAAATTCTTTGTGACGATGGAGTTTAACTCAGAGAGCTGAACATTCGTTATGATGGAGCAGTTTCCAAACACACGTTTTGTAGAATCTGCAAGGGGATATTTGGACCTCTCTGAGGATTTCGTTGGAAACGGGATCAACTTCCCATAACTGAACGGAAGCAAACTCAGAACATTCTTTGTGATGTTTGCATTCGTCTCACAGAGTTGAACCTTCCTTTGATAGTTGAGGTTTGCAACACCCTTGTAGTAGAATCTGCAAGTGTATATTTTGACCACTTTGTAGCCTTCGTTTGAAACGTCTATATCTTCACATCAAACCTAGACAGAAGCATTCTCAGAAAGTTTTCTGCGATGACTGCATTCAACTCACAGAGTTGAACAATCGTTTTGATGGAGCAGTTTTGAAACCCTCTTTCTTTGGAATCTGCAAGGGGATATGTGGACCTCTTTGAAGATTTCACTGGAAACGGGATCATCTTCACATAAGAACTAAACAGAAGCATTCTCGGAAACTACTTTGTGATGTTTGTATTCAACTCCCAGAGTTGAACTTTCCTTTTGAAAGAGCAGCTATGAAACACTCTTTTTCGGGAATCTGCAAGTGGACGTTTGGAGGGCTTTGAGGCCTGTGGTGGAAAAGGAAATATCTTCACATAAAAACTACATAGAAGCATTCTCAGAAACTACTTTGTGAGGATGGCATTCAACTCATGGAGTTGAACAATCCTATTGATAGAGCAGATTGGAATCACTCTTTTTGTAGAATCTGCAAATGGAGATTTGGACTGCTTTGAGGCCTACGGTAGTATAGGAAGGAACTTCATATAAAAGGCAAACGGAAGCATTCTCAGAATATTCTTTGTGATGACGGAGTTTCACTCACAGAGCTGAACATGCCTTTTCATGGAGCAGTTTCCAAATACACTTTTGGTAGAATCTGCAGGTGGATATTTGGAGCTCTCTGAGGATTTCGTTGGAAACGGGAATAATTTCCCATAACTAAACACAAACACGCTGAGAAAGTTCTTCATGATGAATGCATTTAACTCGCAGAGATGAACCTGCCTTTGAGAGTTCAGGTTCGAAACACTCTTTCTGTAGAATCTGCAAGTGGATATTTGGACCACTGGCTGGCCTTCGTTCGAAACGGGTATATGTTCACGTAAAAACTAAAGAGAAGCGTTCTCAGAAACTTCTGAGTGATGATTGCATTCAAGTCACACAGTTGAACCCTCCTTTTGATTGAGCAGTTTTGAAACTGTCTTTTTGTAGAATCTGTAAGTGGATGCGTGGACCTCTTTGAAGATTTCTTTGGAAACGGGAATATTTCCACAGAAAAACTTAACCGAAGCATTCTCAGAAACTGCTTTGTGATGTTTGTGTTCGAGCCGCAGAGTTTAACATTGCTTTTCATAGAGCAGTTTTGAAATATTCTTTTGGCAGAATCTGCAAGTGGACATTTGGAGCGCTTTCAGGCCTGTGGTGGAAAAGGCCTGAAAGCCTTTTCCTTTATCTTCACAGAAAGACGAGAGAGAAGCATTGTCAGAAACTTCTTTGTGATGATTGCATTCAACTCACAGAGTTGAAGATTCCTTTTGAAACAGCAGTTTCGAAACACTCTTTCTGTGGGATCCGCAAGGGGATATTTGGACCTCTTTGAAGATTTCGTTGGAAACGGGATAATCTTCACCTAAAAGCTAAACGGAAGCATTCTCAGAAACTTCTTTGGGATGTTTGCATTCACCTCACAGAGTTGAACTTTCCCTTTGATAGCGCAGCTTCGACACACTTTTTCTACAATGTGCAAGTGGATATTTAGCGGGCTTGGAGGACTGTGTTGGAAAAGGAAATATCTTCTCCTAAAAACGACATAGAAGCATTCTCAGAAACTGCTCTGTGATGATTGCATTCAACTCCCAGAGTTGAACATTCCTTTTGATAGAGCAGTTTGCAAACACTCTTTTTGTAGAATCTGCAAGTGGAGATTTGGACCGCTTTGAGGCCTGTGGTAGTAAAGGAAAGAACTTCATATAAAAACCAGACGGTAGCACTCTCAGAAAATTCTTTGTGACGATGGAGTTTAACTCAGAGAGCTGAACATTCGTTATGATGGAGCAGTTTCCAAACACACGTTTTGTAGAATCTGCAAGGGGATATTTGGACCTCTCTGAGGATTTCGTTGGGAACGGGATCAACTTCCCATAACTGAACGGAAGCAAACTCAGAACATTCTTTGTGATGTTTGTATTCAACTCACAGAGTTGAACCTTCCTTTGATAGTTCAGGTTTGCAACACCCTTGTAGTAGAATCTGCAAGTGTATATTTTGACCACTTTGTAGCCTTCGTTTGAAACGTCTATATCTTCACATCAAACCTAGAAAGAAGCATTCTCAGAAAGTTTTCTGCGATGACTGCATTCAACTCACAGAGTTGAACAATCCTTTTGATGGAGCAGTTTTGAAACCCTCTTTCTTTGGAATCTGCAAGGGGATATGTGGACCTCTTTGAAGATTTCACTGGAAACGGGATCATCTTCACATAAAAACTAAACAGAAGCATTCTCGGAAACTATTTTGTGATGTTTGTATTCAACTCCCAGAGTTGAACTTTCCTTTTGAAAGAGCAGCTATGAAACACTCTTTTTCGAGAATCTGCAAGTGGACGTTTGGAGGGCTTTGAGGCCTGTGGTGGAAAAGGAAATATCTTCACACAAAAACCAGATAGAAGCATTCTCAGAAACTACTTTGTGAGGATGGCATTCAACTCATGGAGTTGAACAATCCTATTGATAGAGCAGATTGGAATCACTCTTTTTATAGAATCTGCAAATGGAGATTTGGACTGCTTTGAGGCCTACGGTAGTACAGGAAGGAACTTCATATAAAAGGCAAACGGAAGCATTCTCAGAATATTCTTTGTGATGATGGAGTTTCACTCACAGAGCTGAACATGCCTTTTGATGGAGCAGTTTCCAAATACACTTTTGGTAGAATCTGCAGGTGGATATTTGGAGCTCTCTGAGGATTTCGTTGGAAACGGGAATAATTTCCCATAACTAAACACAAACACTCTGAGAAAGTTCTTCATGATGAATGCATTTAACTCGCAGAGATGAACCTGCCTTTGAGAGTTCAGGTTCGAAACACTCTTTCTGTATAATCTGCAAGTGGATATTTGGACCACTGGGTGGCCTTCGTTCGAAACGGGTATATGTTCACGTAAAAACTAAAGAGAAGCATTCTCAGAAACTTCTGAGTGATGATTGCATTCAATTCACACAGTTGAACCCTCCTTTTGATGGAGCAGTTTTGAAACTGTCTTTTTGTAGAATCTGTAAGTGGATACGTGGACCTCTTTGAAGATTTCTTTGGAAACGGGAATATTTCCACAGAAAAACTAAACTGAAGCATTCTCAGAAACTGCTTTGTGATGTTTGTGTTCGAGCCACAGAGTTTAACATTGCTTTTCATAGAGCAGTTTTGAAATATTCTTTTGGCAGAATCTGCAAGTGGACATTTGGAGCGCTTTCAGGCCTGTGGTGGAAAAGGCCTGAAAGCCTTTTCCTTTATTTTCACAGAAAGACGAGAGAGAAGCATTGTCAGAAACTTCTTTGTGATGATTGCATTCAACTCACAGAGTTGAAGATTCCTTTTGAAACAGCAGTTTCGAAACACTCTTTCTGTGGGATCCGCAAGGGGATATTTGGACCTCTTTGAAGGTTTCGTTGGAAACGGGATAATCTTCACCTAAAAGCTAAACGGAAGCATTCTCAGAAACTTCTTTGGGATGTTTGCATTCACCTCACAGAGTTGAACTTTCCCTTTGATAGCGCAGCTTTGACACACTTTTTCTACAATGTGCAAGTGGCTATTTAGCGGGCTTGGAGGACTGTGTTGGAAAAGGAAATATCTTCTCCTAAAAACGACATAGAAGCATTCTCAGAAACTGCTCTGTGATGATTGCATTCAACTCCCAGAGTTGAACATTCCTTTTGATAGAGCAGTTTGCAAACACTCTTTTTGTAGAATCTGCAAGTGGAGATTTGGACCGCTTTGAGGCCTGTGGTAGTGAAGGAAAGAACTTCATATAAAAACCAGACGGTAACACTCTCAGAAAATTCTTTGTGACGATGGAGTTTAACTCAGGGAGCTGAACATTCGTTATGATGGAGCAGTTTCCAAACACACGTTTTGTAGAATCTGCAAGGGGATATTTGGACCTCTCTGAGGATTTCGTTGGAAACGGGATCAACTTCCCATAACTGAACGGAAGCAAACTCAGAACATTCTTTGTGATGTTTGTATTCAACTCACAGAGTTGAACCTTCCTTTGATAGTTCAGGTTTGCAACACCCTTGTAGTAGAATCTGCAAGTGTATATTTTGACCACTTTGTAGCCTTCGTTTGAAACGTCTATATCTTCACATCAAACCTAGACAGAAGCATTCTCAGAAAGTTTTCTGCGATGACTGCATTCAACTCACAGAGTTGAACAATCCTTCTGATGGAGCAGTTTTGAAACCCTCTTTCTTTGGAATCTGCAAGGGGATATGTGGACCTCTTTGAAGATTTCACTGGAAACGGGATCATCTTCACATAAAAACTAAACAGAAGCATTCTCGGAAACTACTTTGTGATGTTTGTATTCAACTCCCAGAGTTGAACTTTCCTTTTGAAAGAGCAGCTATGAAACACTCTTTTTCGAGAATCTGCAAGTGGACGTTTGGAGGGCTTTGAGGCCTGTGGTGGAAAAGGAAATATCTTCACACAAAAACCAGATAGAAGCATTCTCAGAAACTACTTTGTGAGGATGGCATTCAACTCATGGAGTTGAACAATCCTATTGATAGAGCAGATTGGAATCACTCTTTTTGTAGAATCTGCAAATGGAGATTTGGACTGCTTTGAGGCCTACGGTAGTATAGGAAGGAACTTCATATAAAAGGCAAACGGAAGCATTCTCAGAATATTCTTTGTGATGATGGAGTTTCACTCACAGAGCTGAACATGCCTTTTGATGGAGCAGTTTCCAAATACACTTTTGGTAGAATCTGCAGGTGGATATTTGGAGCTCTCTGAGGATTTCGTTGGAAACGGGAATAATTTCCCATAACTAAACACAAACACTCTGAGAAAGTTCTTCATGATGAATGCATTTAACTCGCAGAGATGAACCTGCCTTTGAGAGTTCAGGTTCGAAACACTCTTTCTGTAGAATCTGCAAGTGGATATTTGGACCACTGGGTGGCCTTCGTTCGAAACGGGTATATGTTCACGTAAAAACTAAAGAGAAGCATTCTCAGAAACTTCTGAGTGATGATTGCATTCAAGTCACACAGTTGAACCCTCCTTTTGATGGAGCAGTTTTGAAACTGTCTTTTTGTAGAATCTGTAAGTGGATACGTGGACCTCTTTGAAGATTTCTTTGGAAACGGGAATATTTCCACAGAAAAACTAAACTGAAGCATTCTCAGAAACCGCTTTGTGATGTTTGTGTTCGAGCCACAGAGTTTAACATTGCTTTTCACAAAGCAGTTTTGAAATATTCTTTTCGCAGAATCTGCAAGTGGACATTTGGAGCGCTTTCAGGCCTGTGGTGGCAAAGGCCTGAAAGCATTTATTTATCTTCACAGAAAGACGAGAGAGAAGCATTGTCAGAAACTTCTTTGTGATGATTGCATTCAACTCACAGAGTTGAAGATTCCTTTTGAAACAGCAGTTTCGAAACACTCTTTCTGTGGGATCCGCAAGGGGATATTTGGACCTCTTTGAAGGTTTCGTTGGAAACGGGATAATCTTCACCTAAAAGCTAAACGGAAGCATTCTCAGAAACTTCTTTGGGATGTTTGCATTCACCTCACAGAGTTGAACTTTCCCTTTGATAGCGCAGCTTTGACACACTTTTTCTACAATGTGCAAGTGGCTATTTAGCGGGCTTGGAGGACTGTGTTGGAAAAGGAAATATCTTCTCCTAAAAACGACATAGAAGCATTCTCAGAAACTGCTCTGTGATGATTGCATTCAACTCCCAGAGTTGAACATTCCTTTTGATAGAGCAGTTTGCAAACACTCTTTTTGTAGAATCTGCAAGTGGAGATTTGGACCGCTTTGAGGCCTGTGGTAGTGAAGGAAAGAAGTTCATATAAAAACCAGACGGTAGCACTCTCAGAAAATTCTTTGTGACGATGGAGTTTAACTCAGGGAGCTGAACATTCGTTATGATGGAGCAGTTTCCAAACACACGTTTTGTAGAATCTGCGAGGGGATATTTGGACCTCTCTGAGGATTTCGTTGGAAACGGGATCAACTTCCCATAACTGAACGGAAGCAAACTCAGAACATTCTTTGTGATGTTTGTATTCAATTCACAGATTTGAACCTTCCTTTGATAGTTCAGGTTTGCAACACCCTTGTAGTAGAATCTGCAAGTGTATATTTTGACCACTTTGTAGCCTTCGTTTGAAACGTCTATATCTTCACATCAAACCTAGACAGAAGCATTCTCAGAAAGTTTTCTGCGATGACTGCATTCAACTCACAGAGTTGAACAATCCTTCTGATGGAGCAGTTTTGAAACCCTCTTTCTTTGGAATCTGCAAGGGGATATGTGGACCTCTTTGAAGATTTCACTGGAAACGGGATCATCTTCACATAAAAACTAAACAGAAGCATTCTCGGAAACTACTTTGTGATGTTTGTATTCAACTCCCAGAGTTGAACTTTCCTTTTGAAAGAGCAGCTATGAAACACTCTTTTTCGAGAATCTGCAAGTGGACGTTTGGAGGGCTTTGAGGCCTGTGGTGGAAAAGGAAATATCTTCACATTAAAACTAGATAGAAGCATTCTCAGAAACTACTTTGTGAGGATGGCATTCAACTCATGGAGTTGAACAATCCTATTGATAGAGCAGATTGGAATCACTCTTTTTGTAGAATCTGCAAATGGAGATTTGGACTGCTTTGAGGCCTACGGTAGTATAGGAAGGAACTTCATATAAAAGGCAAACGGAAGCATTCTCAGAATATTCTTTGTGATGATGGAGTTTCACTCACAGAGCTGAACATGCCTTTTGATGGAGCAGTTTCCAAATACACTTTTGGTAGAATCTGCAGGTGGATATTTGGAGCTCTCTGAGGATTTCGTTGGAAACGGGAATAATTTCCCATAACTAAACACAAACACTCTGAGAAAGTTCTTCATGATGAATGCATTTAACTCGCAGAGATGAACCTGCCTTTGAGAGTTCAGGTTCGAAACACTCTTTCTGTATAATCTGCAAGTGGATATTTGGACCACTGGGTGGCCTTCGTTCGAAACGGGTATATGTTCACGTAAAAACTAAAGAGAAGCATTCTCAGAAACTTCTGAGTGATGATTGCATTCAAGTCACACAGTTGAACCCTCCTTTTGATGGAGCAGTTTTGAAACTGTCTTTTTGTAGAATCTGTAAGTGGATGCGTGGACCTCTTTGAAGATTTCTTTGGAAACGGGAATATTTCCACAGAAAAACTAAACTGAAGCATTCTCAGAAACTGCTTTGTGATGTTTGTGTTCGAGCCACAGAGTTTAACATTGCTTTTCATAGAGCAGTTTTGAAATATTCTTTTCGCAGAATCTGCAAGTGGACATTTGGAGCGCTTTCAGGCCTGTGGTTGCAAAGGCCTGAAAGCCTTTTCCTTTATCTTCACAGAAAGACGAGAGAGAAGCATTGTCAGAAACTTCTTTGTGATGATTGCATTCAACTCACAGAGTTGAAGATTCCTTTTGAAACAGCAGTTTCGAAACACTCTTTCTGTGGGATCCGCAAGGGGATATTTGGACCTCTTTGAAGGTTTCGTTGGAAACGGGATAATCTTCACCTAAAAGCTAAACGGAAGCATTCTCAGAAACTTCTTTGGGATGTTTGCATTCACCTCACAGAGTTGAACTTTCCCTTTGATAGCGCAGCTTTGACACACTTTTTCTACAATGTGCAAGTGGCTATTTAGCGGACTTGGAGGACTGTGTTGGAAAAGGAAATATCTTCTCCTAAAAACGACATAGAAGCATTCTCAGAAACTGCTCTGTGATGATTGCATTCAACTCCCAGAGTTGAACATTCCTTTTGATAGAACAGTTTGCAAACACTCTTTTTGTAGAATCTGCAAGTGGAGATTTGGACCGCTTTGAGGCCTGTGGTAGTGAAGGAAAGAACTTCATATAAAAACCAGACGGTAGCACTCTCAGAAAATTCTTTGTGACGATGGAGTTTAACTCAGGGAGCTGAACATTCGTTATGATGGAGCAGTTTCCAAACACACGTTTTGTAGAATCTGCAAGGGGATATTTGGACCTCTCTGAGGATTTCGTTGGAAACGGGATCAACTTCCCATAACTGAACGGAAGCAAACTCAGAACATTCTTTGTGATGTTTGTATTCAACTCACAGAGTTGAACCTTCCTTTGATAGTTCAGGTTTGCAACACCCTTGTAGTAGAATCTGCAAGTGTATATTTTGACCACTTTGTAGCCTTCGTTTGAAACGTCTATATCTTCACATCAAACCTAGACAGAAGCATTCTCAGAAAGTTTTCTGCGATGACTGCATTCAACTCACAGAGTTGAACAATCCTTCTGATGGAGCAGTTTTGAAACCCTCTTTCTTTGGAATCTGCAAGGGGATATGTGGACCTCTTTGAAGATTTCACTGGAAACGGGATCATCTTCACATAAAAACTAAACAGAAGCATTCTCGGAAACTATTTTGTGATGTTTGTATTCAACTCCCAGAGTTGAACTTTCCTTTTGAAAGAGCAGCTATGAAACACTCTTTTTCGAGAATCTGCAAGTGGACGTTTGGAGGGCTTTGAGGCCTGTGGTGGAAAAGGAAATATCTTCACACAAAAACCAGATAGAAGCATTCTCAGAAACTGCTTTGTGAGGATGGCATTCAACTCATGGAGTTGAACAATCCTATTGATAGAGCAGATTGGAATCACTCTTTTTGTAGAATCTGCAAATGGAGATTTGGACTGCTTTGAGGCCTACGGTAGTACAGGAAGGAACTTCATATAAAAGGCAAACGGAAGCATTCTCAGAATATTCTTTGTGATGATGGAGTTTCACTCACAGAGCTGAACATGCCTTTTGATGGAGCAGTTTCCAAATACACTTTTGGTAGAATCTGCAGGTGGATATTTGGAGCTCTCTGAGGATTTCGTTGGATACGGGAATAATTTCCCATAACTAAACACAAACACTCTGAGAAAGTTCTTCATGATGAATGCATTTAACTCGCAGAGATGAACCTGCCTTTGAGAGTTCAGGTTCGAAACACTCTTTCTGTATAATCTGCAAGTGGATATTTGGACCACTGGGTGGCCTTCGTTCGAAACGGGTATATGTTCACGTAAAAACTAAAGAGAAGCATTCTCAGAAACTTCTGAGTGATGATTGCATTCAAGTCACACGGTTGAACCCTCCTTTTGATGGAGCAGTTTTGAAACTGTCTTTTTGTAGAATCTGTAAGTGGATACGTGGACCTCTTTGAAGATTTCTTTGGAAACGGGAATATTTCCACAGAAAAACTAAACTGAAGCATTCTCAGAAACCGCTTTGTGATGTTTGTGTTCGAGCCACAGAGTTTAACATTGCTTTTCATAGAGCAGTTTTGAAATATTCTTTTCGCAGAATCTGCAAGTGGACATTTGGAGCGCTTTCAGGCCTGTGGTGGAAAAGGCCTGAAAGCCTTTTCCTTTATCTTCTCAGAAAGACGAGAGAGAAGCATTGTCAGAAACTTCTTTGTGATGATTGCATTCAACTCACAGAGTTGAAGATTCCTTTTGAAACAGCAGTTTCGAAACACTCTTTCTGTGGGATCCGCAAGGGGATATTTGGACCTCTTTGAAGGTTTCGTTGGAAACGGGATAATCTTCACCTAAAAGCTAAACGGAAGCATTCTCAGAAACTTCTTTGGGATGTTTGCATTCACCTCACAGAGTTGAACTTTCCCTTTGATAGCGCAGCTTTGACACACTGTTTCTACAATGTGCAAGTGGCTATTTAGCGGGCTTGGAGGACTGTGTTGGAAAAGGAAATATCTTCTCCTAAAAACGACATAGAAGCATTCTCAGAAACTGCTCTGTGATGATTGCATTCAACTCCCAGAGTTGAACATTCCTTTTGATAGAGCAGTTTGCAAACACTCTTTTTGTAGAATCTGCAAGTGGAGATTTGGACCGCTTTGAGGCCTGTGGTAGTGAAGGAAAGAACTTCATATAAAAACCAGACGGTAGCACTCTCAGAAAATTCTTTGTGACGATGGAGTTTAACTCAGGGAGCTGAACATTCGTTATGATGGAGCAGTTTCCAAACACACGTTTTGTAGAATCTGCAAGGGGATATTTGGACCTCTCTGAGGATTTCGTTGGAAACGGGATCAACTTCCCATAACTGAACGGAAGCAAACTCAGAACATTCTTTGTGATGTTTGTATTCAACCCACAGAGTTGAACCTTCCTTTGATAGTTCAGGTTTGCAACACCCTTGTAGTAGAATCTGCAAGTGTATATTTTGACCACTTTGTAGCCTTCGTTTGAAACGTCTATATCTTCACATCAAACCTAGACAGAAGCATTCTCAGAAAGTTTTCTGCGATGACTGCATTCAACTCACAGAGTTGAACAATCCTTCTGATGGAGCAGTTTTGAAACCCTCTTTCTTTGGAATCTGCAAGGGGATATGTGGACCTCTTTGAAGATTTCACTGGAAACGGGATCATCTTCACATAAAAACTAAACAGAAGCATTCTCGGAAACTACTTTGTGATGTTTGTATTCAACTCCCAGAGTTGAACTTTCCTTTTGAAAGAGCAGCTATGAAACACTCTTTTTCGAGAATCTGCAAGTGGACGTTTGGAGGGCTTTGAGGCCTGTGGTGGAAAAGGAAATATCTTCACATAAAAACTAGATAGAAGCATTCTCAGAAACTACTTTGTGAGGATGGCATTCAACTCATGGAGTTGAACAATCCTATTGATAGAGCAGATTGGAATCACTCTTTTTGTAGAATCTGCAAATGGAGATTTGGACTGCTTTGAGGCCTACGGTAGTACAGGAAGGAACTTCATATAAAAGGCAAACGGAAGCATTCTCAGAATATTCTTTGTGATGATGGAGTTTCACTCACAGAGCTGAACATGCCTTTTGATGGAGCAGTTTCCAAATACACTTTTGGTAGAATCTGCAGGTGGATATTTGGAGCTCTCTGAGGATTTCGTTGGAAACGGGAATAATTTCCCATAACTAAACACAAACACTCTGAGAAAGTTCTTCATGATGAATGCATTTAACTCGCAGAGATGAACCTGCCTTTGAGAGTTCAGGTTCGAAACACTCTTTCTGTAGAATCTGCAAGTGGATATTTGGACCACTGGCTGGCCTTCGTTCGAAACGGGTATATGTTCACGTAAAAACTAAAGAGAAGCATTCTCAGAAACTTCTGAGTGATGATTGCATTCAAGTCACACAGTTGAACCCTCCTTTTGATGGAGCAGTTTTGAAACTGTCTTTTTGTAGAATCTGTAAGTGGATACGTGGACCTCTTTGAAGATTTCTTTGGAAACGGGAATATTTCCACAGAAAAACTAAACTGAAGCATTCTCAGAAACTGCTTTGTGATGTTTGTGTTCGAGCCACAGAGTTTAACATTGCTTTTCATAGAGCAGTTTTGAAATATTCTTTTCGCAGAATCTGCAAGTGGACATTTGGAGCGCTTTCAGGCCTGTGGTTGGAAAAGGCCTGAAAGCCTTTTCCTTTATCTTCACAGAAAGACGAGAGAGAAGCATTGTCAGAAACTTCTTTGTGATGATTGCATTCAACTCACAGAGTTGAAGATTCCTTTTGAAACAGCAGTTTCGAAACACTCTTTCTGTGGGATCCGCAAGGGGATATTTGGACCTCTTTGAAGGTTTCGTTGGAAACGGGATAATCTTCACCTAAAAGCTAAACGGAAGCATTCTCAGAAACTTCTTTGGGATGTTTGCATTCACCTCACAGAGTTGAACTTTCCCTTTGATAGCGCAGCTTTGACACACTTTTTCTACAATGTGCAAGTGGCTATTTAGCGGGCTTGGAGGACTGTGTTGGAAAAGGAAATATCTTCTCCTAAAAACGACATAGAAGCATTCTCAGAAACTGCTCTGTGATGATTGCATTCAACTCCCAGAGTTGAACATTCCTTTTGATAGAGCAGTTTGCAAACACTCTTTTTGTAGAATCTGCAAGTGGAGATTTGGACCGCTTTGAGGCCTGTGGTAGTGAAGGAAAGAACTTCATATAAAAACCAGACGGTAGCACTCTCAGAAAATTCTTTGTGACGATGGAGTTTAACTCAGGGAGCTGAACATTCGTTATGATGGAGCAGTTTCCAAACACACGTTTTGTAGAATCTGCGAGGGGATATTTGGACCTCTCTGAGGATTTCGTTGGAAACGGGATCAACTTCCCATAACTGAACGGAAGCAAACTCAGAACATTCTTTGTGATGTTTGTATTCAACTCACAGAGTTGAACCTTCCTTTGATAGTTCAGGTTTGCAACACCCTTGTAGTAGAATCTGCAAGTGTATATTTTGACCACTTTGTAGCCTTCGTTTGAAACGTCTATATCTTCACATCAAACCTAGACAGAAGCATTCTCAGAAAGTTTTCTGCGATGACTGCATTCAACTCACAGAGTTGAACAATCCTCTGATGGAGCAGTTTTGAAACCCTCTTTCTTTGGAATCTGCAAGGGGATATGTGGACCTCTTTGAAGATTTCACTGGAAACGGGATCATCTTCACATAAAAACTAAACAGAAGCATTCTCGGAAACTATTTTGTGATGTTTGTATTCAACTCCCAGAGTTGAACTTTCCTTTTGAAAGAGCAGCTATGAAACACTCTTTTTCGAGAATCTGCAAGTGGACGTTTGGAGGGCTTTGAGGCCTGTGGTGGAAAAGGAAATATCTTCACACAAAAACCAGATAGAAGCATTCTCAGAAACTACTTTGTGAGGATGGCATTCAACTCATGGAGTTGAACAATCCTATTGATAGAGCAGATTGGAATCACTCTTTTTATAGAATCTGCAAATGGAGATTTGGACTGCTTTGAGGCCTACGGTAGTACAGGAAGGAACTTCATATAAAAGGCAAACGGAAGCATTCTCAGAATATTCTTTGTGATGATGGAGTTTCACTCACAGAGCTGAACATGCCTTTTGATGGAGCAGTTTCCAAATACACTTTTGGTAGAATCTGCAGGTGGATATTTGGAGCTCTCTGAGGATTTCGTTGGAAACGGGAATAATTTCCCATAACTAAACACAAACACTCTGAGAAAGTTCTTCATGATGAATGCTTTTAACTCGCAGAGATGAACCTGCCTTTGAGAGTTCAGGTTCGAAACACTCTTTCTGTAGAATCTGCAAGTGGATATTTGGACCACTGGGTGGCCTTCGTTCGAAACGGGTATATGTTCACGTAAAAACTAAAGAGAAGCATTCTCAGAAACTTCTGAGTGATGATTGCATTCAAGTCACACAGTTGAACCCTCCTTTTGATGGAGCAGTTTTGAAACTGTCTTTTTGTAGAATCTGTAAGTGGATACGTGGACCTCTTTGAAGATTTCTTTGGAAACGGGAATATTTCCACAGAAAAACTAAACTGAAGCATTCTCAGAAACCGCTTTGTGATGTTTGTGTTCGAGCCACAGAGTTTAACATTGCTTTTCATAGAGCAGTTTTGAAATATTCTTTTCGCAGAATCTGCAAGTGGACATTTGGAGCGCTTTCAGGCCTGTGGTGGCAAAGGCCTGAAAGCCTTTTCCTTTATCTTCACAGAAAGACGAGAGAGAAGCATTGTCAGAAACTTCTTTTTGATGATTGCATTCAACTCACAGAGTTGAAGATTCCTTTTGAAACAGCAGTTTCGAAACACTCTTTCTGTGGGATCCGCAAGGGGATATTTGGACCTCTTTGAAGGTTTCGTTGGAAACGGGATAATCTTCACCTAAAAGCTAAACGGAAGCATTCTCAGAAACTTCTTTGGGATGTTTGCATTCACCTCACAGAGTTGAACTTTCCCTTTGATAGCGCAGCTTTGACACACTTTTTCTACAATGTGCAAGTGGCTATTTAGCGGGCTTGGAGGACTGTGTTGGAAAAGGAAATATCTTCTCCTAAAAACGACATAGAAGCATTCTCAGAAACTGCTCTGTGATGATTGCATTCAACTCCCAGAGTTGAACATTCCTTTTGATAGAGCAGTTTGCAAACACTCTTTTTGTAGAATCTGCAAGTGGAGATTTGGACCGCTTTGAGGCCTGTGGTAGTGAAGGAAAGAACTTCATATAAAAACCAGACGGTAGCACTCTCAGAAAATTCTTTGTGACGATGGAGTTTAACTCAGGGAGCTGAACATTCGTTATGATGGAGCAGTTTCCAAACACACGTTTTGTAGAATCTGCAAGGGGATATTTGGACCTCTCTGAGGATTTCGTTGGAAACGGGATCAACTTCCCATAACTGAACGGAAGCAAACTCAGAACATTCTTTGTGATGTTTGTATTCAACTCACAGAGTTGAACCTTCCTTTGATAGTTCAGGTTTGCAACACCCTTGTAGTAGAATCTGCAAGTGTATATTTTGACCACTTTGTAGCCTTCGTTTGAAACGTCTATATCTTCACATCAAAACTAGACAGAAGCATTCTCAGAAAGTTTTCTGCGATGACTGCATTCAACTCACAGAGTTGAACAATCCTTCTGATGGAGCAGTTTTGAAACCCTCTTTCTTTGGAATCTGCAAGGGGATATGTGGACCTCTTTGAAGATTTCACTGGAAACGGGATCATCTTCACATAAAAACTAAACAGAAGCATTCTCGGAAACTATTTTGTGATGTTTGTATTCAACTCCCAGAGTTGAACTTTCCTTTTGAAAGAGCAGCTATGAAACACTCTTTTTCGAGAATCTGCAAGTGGACGTTTGGAGGGCTTTGAGGCCTGTGGTGGAAAAGGAAATATCTTCACACAAAAACCAGATAGAAGCATTCTCAGAAACTACTTTGTGAGGATGGCATTCAACTCATGGAGTTGAACAATCCTATTGATAGAGCAGATTGGAATCACTCTTTTTGTAGAATCTGCAAATGGAGATTTGGACTGCTTTGAGGCCTACGGTAGTACAGGAAGGAACTTCATATAAAAGGCAAACGGAAGCATTCTCAGAATATTCTTTGTGATGATGGAGTTTCACTCACAGAGCTGAACATGCCTTTTGATGGAGCAGTTTCCAAATACACTTTTGGTAGAATCTGCAGGTGGATATTTGGAGCTCTCTGAGGATTTCGTTGGAAACGGGAATAATTTCCCATAACTAAACACAAACACTCTGAGAAAGTTCTTCATGATGAATGCATTCAACTCGCAGAGATGAACCTGCCTTTGAGAGTTCATGTTCGAAACACTATTTCTGTAGAATCTGCAAGTGGATATTTGGACCACTGGCTGGCCTTCGTTCGAAACGGGTATATGTTCACGTAAAAACTAAAGAGAAGCATTCTCAGAAACTTCTGAGTGATGATTGCATTCAAGTCACACAGTTGAACCCTCCTTTTGATGGAGCAGTTTTGAAACTGTCTTTTTGTAGAATCTGTAAGTGGATACGTGGACCTCTTTGAAGATTTCTTTGGAAACGGGAATATTTCCACAGAAAAACTAAACTGAAGCATTCTCAGAAACCGCTTTGTGATGTTTGTGTTCGAGCCACAGAGTTTAACATTGCTTTTCATAGAGCAGTTTTGAAATATTCTTTTGGCAGAATCTGCAAGTGGACATTTGGAGCGCTTTCAGGCCTGTGGTGGAAAAGGCCTGAAAGCCTTTTCCTTTACCTTCACAGAAAGACGAGAGAGAAGCATTGTCAGAAACTTCTTTGTGATGATTGCATTCAACTCACAGAGTTGAAGATTCCTTTTGAAACAGCAGTTTCGAAACACTCTTTCTGTGGGATCCGCAAGGGGATATTTGGACCTCTTTGAAGGTTTCGTTGGAAACGGGATAATCTTAACCTAAAAGCTAAACGGAAGCATTCTCAGAAACTTCTTTGGGATGTTTGCATTCACCTCACAGAGTTGAACTTTCCCTTTGATAGCGCAGCTTTGACACACTTTTTCTACAATGTGCAAGTGGCTATTTAGCGGGCTTGGAGGACTGTGTTGGAAAAGGTAATATCTTCTCCTAAAAACGACATAGAAGCATTCTCAGAAACTGCTCTGTGATGATTGCATTCAACTCCCAGGGTTGAACATTCCTTTTGATAGAGCAGTTTGCAAACACTCTTTTTGTAGAATCTGCAAGTGGAGATTTGGACCGCTTTGAGGCCTGTGGTAGTGAAGAAAAGAGCTTCATATAAAAACCAGACGGTAGCACTCTCAGAAAATTCTTTGTGACGATGGAGTTTAACTCAGGGAGCTGAACATTCGTTATGATGGAGCAGTTTCCAAACACACGTTTTGTAGAATCTGCAAGGGGATATTTGGACCTCTCTGAGGATTTCGTTGGAAACGGGATCAACTTCCCATAACTGAACGGAAGCAAACTCAGAACATTCTTTGTGATGTTTGTATTCAACTCACAGAGTTGAACCTTCCTTTGATAGTTCAGGTTTGCAACACCCTTGTAGTAGAATCTGCAAGTGTATATTTTGACCACTTTGTAGCCTTCGTTTGAAACGTCTATATCTTCACATCAAACCTAGACAGAAGCATTCTCAGAAAGTTTTCTGCGATGACTGCATTCAACTCACAGAGTTGAACAATCCTTCTGATGGAGCAGTTTTGAAACCCTCTTTCTTTGGAATCTGCAAGGGGATATGTGGACCTCTTTGAAGATTTCACTGGAAACGGGATCATCTTCACATAAAAACTAAACAGAAGCATTCTCGGAAACTACTTTGTGATGTTTGTATTCAACTCCCAGAGTTGAACTTTCCTTTTGAAAGAGCAGCTATGAAACACTCTTTTTCGAGAATCTGCAAGTGGACGTTTGGAGGGCTTTGAGGCCTGTGGTGGAAAAGGAAATATCTTCACATAAAAACTAGATAGAAGCATTCTCAGAAACGACTTTGTGAGGATGGCATTCAACTCATGGAGTTGAACAATCCTATTGATAGAGCAGATTGGAATCACTCTTTTTGTAGAATCTGCAAATGGAGATTTGGACTGCTTTGAGGCCTACGGTCGTATAGGAAGGAACTTCAGATAAAAGGCAAACGGAAGCATTCTCAGAATATTCTTTGTGATGATGGAGTTTCACTCACAGAGCTGAACATGCCTTTTGATGGAGCAGTTTCCAAATACACTTTTGGTAGAATCTGCAGGTGGATATTTGGAGCTCTCTGAGGATTTCTTTGGAAACGGGAATAATTTCCCATAACTAAACACAAACACTCTGAGAAAGTTCTTCATGATGAATGCATTTAACTCGCAGAGATGAACCTGCCTTTGGGAGTTCAGGTTCGAAACACTCTTTCTGTAGAATCTGCAAGTGGATATTTGGACCACTGGGTGGCCTTCGTTCGAAACGGGTATATGTTCACGTAAAAACTAAAGAGAAGCATTCTCAGAAACTTCTGAGTGATGATTGCATTCAAGTCACACAGTTGAACCCTCCTTTTGATGGAGCAGTTTTGAAACTGTCTTTTTGTAGAATCTGTAAGTGGATACGTGGACCTCTTTGAAGATTTCTTTGGAAACGGGAATATTTCCACAGAAAAACTAAACTGAAGCATTCTCAGAAACTGCTTTGTGATGTTTGTGTTCGAGCCACAGAGTTTAACATTGCTTTTCATAGATCAGTTTTGAAATATTCTTTTCGCAGAATCTGCAAGTGGACATTTGGAGCGCTTTCAGGCCTGTGGTGGAAAAGGCCTGAAAGCCTTTTCCTTTATCTTCACAGAAAGACGAGAGAGAAGCATTGTCAGAAACTTCTTTGTGATGATTGCATTCAACTCACAGAGTTGAAGATTCCTTTTGAAACAGCAGTTTCGAAACACTCTTTCTGTGGGATCCGCAAGGGGATATTTGGACCTCTTTGAAGGTTTCGTTGGAAACGGGATAATCTTCACCTAAAAGCTAAACGGAAGCATTCTCAGAAACTTCTTTGGGATGTTTGCATTCACCTCACAGAGTTGAACTTTCCCTTTGATAGCGCAGCTTTGACACACTTTTTCTACAATGTGCAAGTGGCTATTTAGCGGGCTTGGAGGACTGTGTTGGAAAAGGAAATATCTTCTCCTAAAAACGACATAGAAGCATTCTCAGAAACTGCTCTGTGATGATTGCATTCAACTCCCAGAGTTGAACATTCCTTTTGATAGAGCAGTTTGCAAACACTCTTTTTGTAGAATCTGCAAGTGGAGATTTGGACCGCTTTGAGGCCTGTGGTAGTGAAGGAAAGAACTTCATATAAAAACCAGACGGTAGCACTCTCAGAAAATTCTTTGTGACGATGGAGTTTAACTCAGGGAGCTGAACATTCGTTATGATGGAGCAGTTTCCAAACACACGTTTTGTAGAATCTGCGAGGGGATATTTGGACCTCTCTGAGGATTTCGTTGGAAACGGGATCAACTTCCCATAACTGAACGGAAGCAAACTCAGAACATTCTTTGTGATGTTTGTATTCAACTCACAGAGTTGAACCTTCCTTTGATAGTTCAGGTTTGCAACACCCTTGTAGTAGAATCTGCAAGTGTATATTTTGACCACTTTGTAGCCTTCGTTTGAAACGTCTATATCTTCACATCAAACCTAGAAAGAAGCATTCTCAGAAAGTTTTCTGCGATGACTGCATTCAACTCACAGAGTTGAACAATCCTTCTGATGGAGCAGTTTTGAAACCCTCTTTCTTTGGAATCTGCAAGGGGATATGTGGACCTCTTTGATGATTTCACTGGAAACGGGGTCATCTTCACATAAAAACTAAACAGAAGCATTCTCGGAAACTATTTTGTGATGTTTGTATTCAACTCCCAGAGTTGAACTTTCCTTTTGAAAGAGCAGCTATGAAACACTCTTTTTCGAGAATCTGCAAGTGGACGTTTGGAGGGCTTTGAGGCCTGTGGTGGAAAAGGAAATATCTTCACACAAAAACCAGATAGAAGCATTCTCAGAAACTACTTTGTGAGGATGGCATTCAACTCATGGAGTTGAACAATCCTATTGATAGAGCAGATTGGAATCACTCTTTTTATAGAATCTGCAAATGGAGATTTGGACTGCTTTGAGGCCTACGGTAGTACAGGAAGGAACTTCATATAAAAGGCAAACGGAAGCATTCTCAGAATATTCTTTGTGATGATGGAGTTTCACTCACAGAGCTGAACATGCCTTTTGATGGAGCAGTTTCCAAATACACTTTTGGTAGAATCTGCAGGTGGATATTTGGAGCTCTCTGAGGATTTCGTTGGAAACGGGAATAATTTCCCATAACTAAACACAAACACTCTGAGAAAGTTCTTCATGATGAATGCATTTAACTCGCAGAGATGAACCTGCCTTTGAGAGTTCAGGTTCGAAACACTCTTTCTGTAGAATCTGCAAGTGGATATTTGGACCACTGGCTGGCCTTCGTTCGAAACGGGTATATGTTCACGTAAAAACTAAAGAGAAGCATTCTCAGAAACTTGTGAGTGATGATTGCATTCAAGTCACACAGTTGAACCCTCCTTTTGATGGAGCAGTTTTGAAACTGTCTTTTTGTAGAATCTGTAAGTGGATACGTGGACCTCTTTGAAGATTTCTTTGGAAACGGGAATATTTCCACAGAAAAACTAAACTGAAGCATTCTCAGAAACCGCTTTGTGATGTTTGTGTTCGAGCCACAGAGTTTAACATTGCTTTTCATAGAGCAGTTTTGAAATATTCTTTTCGCAGAATCTGCAAGTGGACATTTGGAGCGCTTTCAGGCCTGTGGTGGAAAAGGCCTGAAAGCCTTTTCCTTTATCTTCACAGAAAGACGAGAGAGAAGCATTGTCAGAAACTTCTTTGTGATGATTGCATTCAACTCACAGAGTTGAAGATTCCTTTTGAAACAGCAGTTTCGAAACACTCTTTCTGTGGGATCCGCAAGGGGATATTTGGACCTCTTTGAAGGTTTCGTTGGAAACGGGATAATCTTCACCTAAAAGCTAAACGGAAGCATTCTCAGAAACTTCTTTGGGATGTTTGCATTCACCTCACAGAGTTGAACTTTCCCTTTGATAGCGCAGCTTTGACACACTTTTTCTACAATGTGCAAGTGGCTATTTAGCGGACTTGGAGGACTGTGTTGGAAAAGGAAATATCTTCTCCTAAAAACGACATAGAAGCATTCTCAGAAACTGCTCTGTGATGATTGCATTCAACTCCCAGAGTTGAACATTCCTTTTGATAGAGCAGTTTGCAAACACTCTTTTTGTAGAATCTGCAAGTGGAGATTTGGACCGCTTTGAGGCCTGTGGTAGTGAAGGAAAGAACTTCATATAAAAACCAGACGGTAGCACTCTCAGAAAATTCTTTGTGACGATGGAGTTTAACTCAGGGAGCTGAACATTCGTTATGATGGAGCAGTTTCCAAACACACGTTTTGTAGAATCTGCGAGGGGATATTTGGACCTCTCTGAGGATTTCGTTGGAAACGGGATCAACTTCCCATAACTGAACGGAAGCAAACTCAGAACATTCTTTGTGATGTTTGTATTCAACTCACAGAGTTGAACCTTCCTTTGATAGTTCAGGTTTGCAACACCCTTGTAGTAGAATCTGCAAGTGTATATTTTGACCACTTTGTAGCCTTCGTTTGAAACGTCTATATCTTCACGTCAAACCTAGACAGAAGCATTCTCAGAAAGTTTTCTGCGATGACTGCATTCAACTCACAGAGTTGAACAATCCTTCTGATGGAGCAGTTTTGAAACCCTCTTTCTTTGGAATCTGCAAGGGGATATGTGGACCTCTTTGAAGATTTCACTGGAAACGGGATCATCTTCACATAAAAACTAAACAGAAGCATTCTCGGAAACTACTTTGTGATGTTTGTATTCAACTCCCAGAGTTGAACTTTCCTTTTGAAAGAGCAGCTATGAAACACTCTTTTTCGAGAATCTGAAAGTGGACGTTTGGAGGGCTTTGAGGCCTGTGGTGGAAAAGGAAATATCTTCACATAAAAACTAGATAGAAGCATTCTCAGAAACGACATTGAGGATGGCATTCAACACATGGAGTTGAACAATCCTATTGATAGAGCAGATTGGAATCACTCTTTTTGTAGAATCTGCAAATGGAGATTTGGACTGCTTTGAGGCCTACGGTAGTATAGGAAGGAACTTCATATAAACGGCAAACGGAAGCATTCTCAGAATATTCTTTGTGATGATGGAGTTTCACTCACAGAGCTGAACATGCCTTTTGATGGAGCAGTTTCCAAATACACTTTTGGTAGAATCTGCAGGTGGATATTTGGAGCTCTCTGAGGATTTCGTTGGAAACGGGAATAATTTCCCATAACTAAACACAAACACTCTGAGAAAGTTCTTCATGATGAATGCATTTAACTCGCAGAGATGAACCTGCCTTTGAGAGTTCAGGTTCGAAACACTCTTTCTGTAGAATCTGCAAGTGGATATTTGGACCACTGGGTGGCCTTCGTTCGAAACGGGTATATGTTCACGTAAAAACTAAAGAGAAGCATTCTCAGAAACTTCTGAGTGATGATTGCATTCAAGTCACACAGTTGAACCCTCCTTTTGATGGAGCAGTTTTGAAACTGTCTTTTTGTAGAATCTGTAAGTGGATACGTGGACCTCTTTGAAGATTTCTTTCGAAACGGGAATATTTCCACAGAAAAACTAAACTGAAGCATTCTCAGAAACTGCTTTGTGATGTTTGTGTTCGAGCCACAGAGTTTAACATTGCTTTTCATAGAGCAGTTTTGAAATATTCTTTTGGCAGAATCTGCAAGTGGACATTTGGAGCGCTTTCAGGCCTGTGGTGGAAAAGGCCTGAAAGCCTTTTCCTTTATCTTCACAGGAAGACGAGAGAGAAGCATTGTCAGAAACTTCTTTGTGATGATTGCATTCAACTCACAGAGTTGAAGATTCCTTTTGAAACAGCAGTTTCGAAACACTCTTTCTGTGGGATCCGCAAGGGGATATTTGGACCTCTTTGAAGGTTTCGTTGGAAACGGGATAATCTTCACCTAAAAGCTAAACGGAAGCATTCTCAGAAACTTCTTTGGGATGTTTGCATTCACCTCACAGAGTTGAACTTTCCCTTTGATAGCGCAGCTTTGACACACTTTTTCTACAATGTGCAAGTGGCTATTTAGCGGGCTTGGAGGACTGTGTTGGAAAAGGAAATATCTTCTCCTAAAAACGACATAGAAGCATTCTCAGAAACTGCTCTGTGATGATTGCATTCAACTCCCAGAGTTGAACATTCCTTTTGATAGAGCAGTTTGCAAACACTCTTTTTGTAGAATCTGCAAGTGGAGATTTGGACCGCTTTGAGGCCTGTGGTAGTGAAGGAAAGAACTTCATATAAAAACCAGACGGTAGCACTCTCAGAAAATTCTTTGTGACGATGGAGTTTAACTCAGGGAGCTGAACATTCGTTATGATGGAGCAGTTTCCAAACACACGTTTTGTAGAATCTGCGAGGGGATATTTGGACCTCTCTGAGGATTTCGTTGGAAACGGGATCAACTTCCCATAACTGAACGGAAGCAAACTCAGAACATTCTTTGTGATGTTTGTATTCAACTCACAGAGTTGAACCTTCCTTTGATAGTTCAGGTTTGCAACACCCTTGTAGTAGAATCTGCAAGTGTATATTTTGACCACTTTGTAGCCTTCGTTTGAAACGTCTATATCTTCACATCAAACCTAGACAGAAGCATTCTCAGAAAGTTTTCTGCGATGACTGCATTCAACTCACAGAGTTGAACAATCCTTCTGATGGAGCAGTTTTGAAACCCTCTTTCTTTGGAATCTGCAAGGGGATATGTGGACCTCTTTGAAGATTTCACTGGAAACGGGATCATCTTCACATAAAAACTAAACAGAAGCATTCTCGGAAACTATTTTGTGATGTTTGTATTCAACTCCCAGAGTTGAACTTTCCTTTTGAAAGAGCAGCTATGAAACACTCTTTTTCGAGAATCTGCAAGTGGACGTTTGGAGGGCTTTGAGGCCTGTGGTGGAAAAGGAAATATCTTCACACAAAAACCAGATAGAAGCATTCTCAGAAACGACTTTGTGAGGATGGCATTCAACTCATGGAGTTGAACAATCCTATTGATAGAGCAGATTGGAATCACTCTTTTTGTAGAATCTGCAAATGGAGATTTGGACTGCTTTGAGGCCTACGGTCGTATAGGAAGGAACTTCAGATAAAAGGCAAACGGAAGCATTCTCAGAATATTCTTTGTGATGATGGAGTTTCACTCACAGAGCTGAACATGCCTTTTGATGGAGCAGTTTCCAAATACACTTTTGGTAGAATCTGCAGGTGGATATTTGGAGCTCTCTGAGGATTTCGTTGGAAACGGGAATAATTTCCCATAACTAAACACAAACACTCTGAGAAAGTTCTTCATGATGAATGCATTTAACTCGCAGAGATGAACCTGCCTTTGAGAGTTCAGGTTCGAAACACTCTTTCTGTAGAATCTGCAAGTGGATATTTGGACCACTGGGTGGCCTTCGTTCGAAACGGGTATATGTTCACGTAAAAACTAAAGAGAAGCATTCTCAGAAACTTCTGAGTGATGATTGCATTCAAGTCACACAGTTGAACCCTCCTTTTGATGGAGCAGTTTTGAAACTGTCTTTTTGTAGAATCTGTAAGTGGATACGTGGACCTCTTTGAAGATTTCTTTGGAAACGGGAGTATTTCCACAGAAAATCTAAACTGAAGCATTCTCAGAAACTGCTTTGTGATGTTTGTGTTCGAGCCACAGAGTTTAACATTGCTTTTCATAGAGCAGTTTTGAAATATTCTTTTGGCAGAATCTGCAAGTGGACATTTGGAGCGCTTTCAGGCCTGTGGTGGAAAAGGCCTGAAAGCCTTTTCCTTTATCTTCACAGAAAGACGAGAGAGAAGCATTGTCAGAAACTTCTTTGTGATGATTGCATTCAACTCACAGAGTTGAAGATTCCTTTTGAAACAGCAGTTTCGAAACACTCTTTCTGTGGGATCCACAAGGGGATATTTGGACCTCTTTGAAGGTTTCGTTGGAAACGGGATAATCTTCACCTAAAAGCTAAACGGAAGCATTCTCAGAAACTTCTTTGGGATGTTTGCATTCACCTCACAGAGTTGAACTTTCCCTTTGATAGCGCAGCTTTGACACACTTTTTCTACAATGTGCAAGTGGCTATTTAGCGGGCTTGGAGGACTGTGTTGGAAAAGGAAATATCTTCTCCTAAAAACGACATAGAAGCATTCTCAGAAACTGCTCTGTGATGATTGCATTCAACTCCCAGAGTTGAACATTCCTTTTGATAGAGCAGTTTGCAAACACTCTTTTTGTAGAATCTGCAAGTGGAGATTTGGACCGCTTTGAGGCCTGTGGTAGTGAAGGAAAGAACTTCATATAAAAACCAGACGGTAGCACTCTCAGAAAATTCTTTGTGACGATGGAGTTTAACTCAGGGAGCTGAACATTCGTTATGATGGAGCAGTTTCCAAACACACGTTTTGTAGAATCTGCAAGGGGATATTTGGACCTCTCTGAGGATTTCGTTGGAAACGGGATCAACTTCCCATAACTGAACGGAAGCAAACTCAGAACATTCTTTGTGATGTTTGTATTCAACTCACAGAGTTGAACCTTCCTTTGATAGTTCAGGTTTGCAACACCCTTGTAGTAGAATCTGAAAGTGTATATTTTGACCACTTTGTAGCCTTCGTTTGAAACATCTATATCTTCACATCAAACCTAGACAGAAGCATTCTCAGAAAGTTTTCTGCGATGACTGCATTCAACTCACAGAGTTGAACAATCCTTCTGATGGAGCAGTTTTGAAACCCTCTTTCTTTGGAATCTGCAAGGGGATATGTGGACCTCTTTGAAGATTTCACTGGAAACGGGATCATCTTCACATAAAAACTAAACAGAAGCATTCTCGGAAACTACTTTGTGATGTTTGTATTCAACTCCCAGAGTTGAACTTTCCTTTTGAAAGAGCAGCTATGAAACACTCTTTTTCGAGAATCTGCAAGTGGACGTTTGGAGGGCTTTGAGGCCTGTGGTGGAAAAGGAAATATCTTCACACAAAAACCAGATAGAAGCATTCTCAGAAACTACTTTGTGAGGATGGCATTCAACTCATGGAGTTGAACAATCCTATTGATAGAGCAGATTGGAATCACTCTTTTTATAGAATCTGCAAATGGAGATTTGGACTGCTTTGAGGCCTACGGTAGTACAGGAAGGAACTTCATATAAAAGACAAACGGAAGCATTCTCAGAATATTCTTTGTGATGATGGAGTTTCACTCACAGAGCTGAACATGCCTTTTGATGGAGCAGTTTCCAAATACACTTTTGGTAGAATCTGCAGGTGGATATTTGGAGCTCTCTGAGGATTTCGTTGGAAACGGGAATAATTTCCCATAACTAAACACAAACACTCTGAGAAAGTTCTTCATGATGAATGCATTTAACTCGCAGAGATGAACCTGCCTTTGAGAGTTCAGGTTCGAAACACTCTTTCTGTATAATCTGCAAGTGGATATTTGGACCACTGGGTGGCCTTCGTTCGAAACGGGTATATGTTCACGTAAAAACTAAAGAGAAGCATTCTCAGAAACTTCTGAGTGATGATTGCATTCAAGTCACACGGTTGAACCCTCCTTTTGATGGAGCAGTTTTGAAACTGTCTTTTTGTAGAATCTGTAAGTGGATACGTGGACCTCTTTGAAGATTTCTTTGGAAACGGGAATATTTCCACAGAAAAACTAAACTGAAGCATTCTCAGAAACCGCTTTGTGATGTTTGTGTTCGAGCCACAGAGTTTAACATTGCTTTTCATAGAGCAGTTTTGAAATATTCTTTTCGCAGAATCTGCAAGTGGACATTTGGAGCGCTTTCAGGCCTGTGGTGGCAAAGGCCTGAAAGCCTTTTCCTTTATCTTCACAGAAAGACGAGAGAGAAGCATTGTCAGAAACTTCTTTGTGATGATTGCATTCAACTCACAGAGTTGAAGATTCCTTTTGAAACAGCAGTTTCGAAACACTCTTTCTGTGGGATCCGCAAGGGGATATTTGGACCTACTTTGAAGGTTTCGTTGGAAACGGGATAATCTTCACCTAAAAGCTAAACGGAAGCATTCTCAGCAAACTTCTTTGGGATGTTTGCATTCACCTCACAGAGTTGAACTTTCCCTTTGATAGCGCAGCTTTGACACACTTTTTCTACAATGTGCAAGTGGCTATTTAGCGGGCTTGGAGGACTGTGTTGGAAAAGGAAATATCTTCTCCTAAAAACGACATAGAAGCATTCTCAGAAACTGCTCTGTGATGATTGCATTCAACTCCTAGAGTTGAACATTCCTTTTGATAGAGCAGTTTGCAAACACTCTTTTTGTAGAATCTGCAAGTGGAGATTTGGACCGCTTTGAGGCCTGTCGTAGTGAAGGAAAGAACTTCATATAAAAACCAGACGGTAGCACTCTCAGAAAATTCTTTGTGACGATGGAGTTTAACTCAGGGAGCTGAACATTCTTTATGATGGAGCAGTTTCCAAACACACGTTTTGTAGAATCTGCGAGGGGATATTTGGACCTCTCTGAGGATTTCGTTGGAAACGGGATCAACTTCCCATAACTGAACGGAAGCAAACTCAGAACATTCTTTGTGATGTTTGTATTCAACTCACAGAGTTGAACCTTCCTTTGATAGTTCAGGTTTGCAACACCCTTGTAGTAGAATCTGCAAGTGTATATTTTGACCACTTTGTAGCCTTCGTTTGAAACGTCTATATCTTCACATCAAACCTAGACAGAAGCATTCTCAGAAAGTTTTCTGCGATGACTGCATTCAACTCACAGAGTTGAACAATCCTTCTGATGGAGCAGTTTTGAAACCCTCTTTCTTTGGAATCTGCAAGGGGATATGTGGACCTCTTTGAAGATTTCACTGGAAACGGGATCATCTTCACATAAAAACTAAACAGAAGCATTCTCGGAAACTACTTTGTGATGTTTGTATTCAACTCCTAGAGTTGAACTTTCCTTTTGAAAGAGCAGCTATGAAACACTCTTTTTCGAGAATCTGCAAGTGGACGTTTGGAGGGCTTTGAGGCCTGTGGTGGAAAAGGAAATATCTTCACACAAAAACCAGATAGAAGCATTCTCAGAAACTACTTTGTGAGGATGGCATTCAACTCATGGGAGTTGAACAATCCTATTGATAGAGCAGATTGGAATCACTCTTTTTGTAGAATCTGCAAATGGAGATTTGGACTGCTTTGAGGCCTACGGTCGTATAGGAAGGAACTTCATATAAAAGGCAAACGGAAGCATTCTCAGAATGTTCTTTGTGATGATGGAGTTTCACTCACAGAGCTGAACATGCCTGTTGATGGAGCAGTTTCCAAATACACTTTTGGTAGAATCTGCAGGTGGATATTTGGAGCTCTCTGAGGATTTCATTGGAAACGGGAATAATTTCCCATAACTAAACACAAACACTCTGAGAAAGTTCTTCATGATGAATGCATTTAACTCGCAGAGATGAACCTGCCTTTGAGAGTTCAGGTTCGAAACACTCTTTCTGTATAATCTGCAAGTGGATATTTGGACCACTGGGTGGCCTTCGTTCGAAACGGGTATATGTTCACGTAAAAACTAAAGAGAAGCATTCTCAGAAACTTCTGAGTGATGATTGCATTCAAGTCACACAGTTGAACCCTCCTTTTGATGGAGCAGTTTTGAAACTGTCTTTTTGTAGAATCTGTAAGTGGATACGTGGACCTCTTTGAAGATTTCTTTGGAAACGGGAATATTTCCACAGAAAAACTAAACTGAAACATTCTCAGAAACCGCTTTGTGATGTTTGTGTTCCAGCCACAGAGTTTAACATTGCTTTTCATAGAGCAGTTTTGAAATATTCTTTTGGCAGAATCTGCAAGTGGACATTTGGAGCGCTTTCAGGCCTGTGGTGGAAAAGGCCTGAAAGCCTTTTCCTTTATCTTCACAGAAAGACGAGAGAGAAGCATTGTCAGAAACTTCTTTGTGATGATTGCATTCAACTCACAGAGTTGAAGATTCCTTTTGAAACAGCAGTTTCGAAACACTCTTTCTGTGGGATCCGCAAGGGGATATTTGGACCTCTTTGAAGGTTTCGTTGGAAACGGGATAATCTTCACCTAAAAGCTAAACGGAAGCACTCTCAGAAACTTCTTAGGGATGTTTGCATTCACCTCACAGAGTTGAACTTTCCCTTTGATAGCGCAGCTTTGACACACTTTTTCTACAATGTGCAAGTGGCTATTTAGCGGACTTGGAGGACTGTGTTGGAAAAGGAAATATCTTCTCCTAAAAACGACATAGAAGCATTCTCAGAAACTGCTCTGTGATGATTGCATTCAACTCCCAGAGTTGAACATTCCTTTTGATAGAGCAGTTTGCAAACACTCTTTTTGTAGAATCTGCAAGTGGAGATTTGGACCGCTTTGAGGCCTGTGGTAGTGAAGGAAAGAACTTCATATAAAAACCAGACGGTAGCACTCTCAGAAAATTCTTTGTGACGATGGAGTTTAACTCAGGGAGCTGAACATTCGTTATGATGGAGCAGTTTCCAAACACACGTTTTGTAGAATCTGCAAGGGGATATTTGGACCTCTCTGAGGATTTCGTTGGAAACGGGATCAACTTCCCATAACTGAACGGAAGCAAACTCAGAACATTCTTTGTGATGTTTGTATTCAACTCACAGAGTTGAACCTTCCTTTTATAGTTCAGGTTTGCAACACCCTTGTAGTAGAATCTGCAAGTGTATATTTTGACCACTTTGTAGCCTTCATTTGAAACGTCTATATCTTCACATCAAACCTAGACAGAAGCATTCTCAGAAAGTTTTCTGCGATGACTGCATTCAACTCACAGAGTTGAACAATCCTTTTGATGGAGCAGTTTTGAAACCCTCTTTCTTTGCAATCTGCAAGGGGATATGTGGACCTCTTTGAAGATTTCACTGGAAACGGGATCATCTTCACATAAAAACTAAACAGAAGCATTCTCGGAAACTACTTTGTGATGTTTGTATTCAACTCCCAGAGTTGAACTTTCCTTTTGAAAGAGCAGCTATGAAACACTCTTTTTCGAGAATCTGCAAGTGGACGTTTGGAGGGCTTTGAGGCCTGTGGTGGAAAAGGAAATATCTTCACATAAAAACTAGATAGAAGCATTCTCAGAAACTACTTTGTGAGGATGGCATTCAACTCATGGAGTTGAACAATCCTATTGATAGAGCAGATTGGAATCACTCTTTTTGTAGAATCTGCAAATGGAGATTTGGACTGCTTTGAGGCCTACGGTCGTATAGGAAGGAACTTCATATAAAAGGTAAACGGAAGCATTCTCAGAATATTCTTTGTGATGATGGAGTTTCACTCACAGAGCTGAACATGCCTTTTGATGGAGCAGTTTCCAAATACACTTTTGGTAGAATCTGCAGGTGGATATTTGGAGCTCTCTGAGGATTTCGTTGGAAACGGGAATAATTTCCCATAACTAAACACAAACACTCTGAGAAAGTTCTTCATGATGAATGCATTTAACTCGCAGAGATGAACCTGCCTTTGAGAGTTCAGGTTCGAAACACTCTTTCTGTAGAATCTGCAAGTGGATATTTGGACCACTGGCTGGCCTTCGTTCGAAACGGGTATATGTTCACGTAAAAACTAAAGAGAAGCATTCTCAGAAACTTCTGAGTGATGATTGCATTCAAGTCACACAGTTGAACCCTCCTTTTGATGGAGCAGTTTTGAAACTGTCTTTTTGTAGAATCTGTAAGTGGATACGTGGACCTCTTTGAAGATTTCTTTGGAAACGGGAATATTTCCACAGAAAAACTAAACTGAAGCATTCTCAGAAACCGCTTTGTGATGTTTGTGTTCGAGCCACAGAGTTTAACATTGCTTTTCATAGAGCAGTTTTGAAATATTCTTTTGGCAGAATCTGCAAGTGGACATTTGGAGCGCTTTCAGGCCTGTGGTGGAAAAGGCCTGAAAGCCTTTTCCATTATCTTCACAGAAAGACGAGAGAGAAGCATGTCAGAAACTTCTTTGCGATGATTGCATTCAACTCACAGAGTTGAAGATTCCTTTTGAAACAGCAGTTTCGAAACACTCTTTCTGTGGGATCCGCAAGGGGATATTTGGACCTCTTTGAAGGTTTCGTTGGAAACGGGATAATCTTCACCTAAAAGCTAAACGGAAGCATTCTCAGAAACTTCTTTGGGATGTTTGCATTCACCTCACAGAGTTGAACTTTCCCTTTGATAGCGCAGCTTTGACACACTTTTTCTACAATGTGCAAGTGGCTATTTAGCGGGCTTGGAGGACTGTGTTGGAAAAGGAAATATCTTCTCCTAAAAACGACATAGAAGCATTCTCAGAAACTGCTCTGTGATGATTGCATTCAACTCCCAGAGTTGAACATTCCTTTTGATAGAGCAGTTTGCAAACACTCTTTTTGTAGAATCTGCAAGTGGAGATTTGGACCGCTTTGAGGCCTGTGGTAGTGAAGGAAAGAACTTCATATAAAAACCAGACGGTAGCACTCTCAGAAAATTCTTTGTGACGATGTAGTTTAACTCAGGGAGCTGAACATTCGTTATGATGGAGCAGTTTCCAAACACACGTTTTGCAGAATCTGCAAGGGGATATTTGGACCTCTCTGAGGATTTCGTTGGAAACGGGATCAACTTCCCATAACTGAACGGAAGCAAACTCAGAACATTCTTTGTGATGTTTGTATTCAACTCACAGAGTTGAACCTTCCTTTGATAGTTCAGGTTTGCAACACCCTTGTAGTAGAATCTGCAAGTGTATATTTTGACCACTTTGTAGCCTTCGTTTGAAACGTCTATATCTTCACATCAAACCTAGACAGAAGCATTCTCAGAAAGTTTTCTGCGATGACTGCATTCAACTCACAGAGTTGAACAATCCTTCTGATGGAGCAGTTTTGAAACCCTCTTTCTTTGGAATCTGCAAGGGGATATGTGGACCTCTTTGAAGATTTCACTGGAAACGGGATCATCTTCACATAAAAACTAAACAGAAGCATTCTCGGAAACTACTTTGTGATGTTTGTATTCAACTCCCAGAGTTGAACTTTCCTTTTGAAAGAGCAGCTATGAAACACTCTTTTTCGAGAATCTGCAAGTGGACGTTTGGAGGGCTTTGAGGCCTGTGGTGGAAAAGGAAATATCTTCACATAAAAACTAGATAGAAGCATTCTCAGAAACGACTTTGTGAGGATGGCATTCAACTCATGGAGTTGAACAATCCTATTGATAGAGCAGATTGGAATCACTCTTTTTGTAGAATCTGCAAATGGAGATTTGGACTGCTTTGAGGCCTAAGGTAGTATAGGAAGGAACTTCATATAAAAGGCAAACGGAAGCATTCTCAGAATATTCTTTGTGATGATGGAGTTTCACTCACAGAGCTGAACATGCCTTTTGATGGAGCAGTTTCCAAATACACTTTTGGTAGAATCTGCAGGTGGATATTTGGAGCTCTCTGAGGATTTCGTTGGAAACGGGAATAATTTCCCATAACTAAACACAAACACTCTGAGAAAGTTCTTCATGATGAATGCATTTAACTCGCAGAGATGAACCTGCCTTTGAGAGTTCAGGTTCGAAACACTCTTTCTGTAGAATCTGCAAGTGGATATTTGGACCACTGGTTGGCCTTCGTTCGAAACGGGTATATGTTCACGTAAAAACTAAAGAGAAGCATTCTCAGAAACTTCTGAGTGATGATTGCATTCAAGTCACACAGTTGAACCCTCCTTTTGATGGAGCAGTTTTGAAACTGTCTTTTTGTAGAATCTGTAAGTGGATACGTGGACCTCTTTGAAGATTTCTTTGGAAACGGGAATATTTCCACAGAAAAACTAAACTGAAGCATTCTCAGAAACCGCTTTGTGATGTTTGTGTTCGAGCCACAGAGTTTAACATTGCTTTTCATAGAGCAGTTTTGAAATATTCTTTTCGCAGAATCTGCAAGTGGACATTTGGAGCGCTTTCAGGCCTGTGGTGGAAAAGGCCTGAAAGCCTTTTCCTTTATCTTCACAGAAAGACGAGAGAGAAGCATTGTCAGAAACTTCTTTGTGATGATTGCATTCAACTCACAGAGTTGAAGATTCCTTTTGAAACAGCAGTTTCGAAACACTCTTTCTGTGGGATCCGCAAGGGGATATTTGGACCTCTTTGAAGGTTTCGTTGGAAACGGGATAATCTTCACCTAAAAGCTAAACGGAAGCATTCTCAGAAACTTCTTTGGGATGTTTGCATTCACCTCACAGAGTTGAAATTTCCCTTTGATAGCGCAGCTTTGACACACTTTTTCTACAATGTGCAAGTGGCTATTTAGCGGGCTTGGAGGACTGTGTTGGAAAAGGAAATATCTTCTCCTAAAAACGACATAGAAGCATTCTCAGAAACTGCTCTGTGATGATTGCATTCAACTCCCAGAGTTGAACATTCCTTTTGATAGAGCAGTTTGCAAACACTCTTTTTGTAGAATCTGCAAGTGGAGATTTGGACCGCTTTGAGGCCTGTGGTAGTGAAGGAAAGAACTTCATATAAAAACCAGACGGTAGCACTCTCAGAAAATTCTTTGTGACGATGGAGTTTAACTCAGGGAGCTGAACATTCGTTATGATGGAGCAGTTTCCAAACACACGTTTTGTAGAATCTGCAAGGGGATATTTGGACCTCTCTGAGGATTTCGTTGGAAACGGGATCAACTTCCCATAACTGAACGGAAGCAAACTCAGAACATTCTTTGTGATGTTTGTATTCAACTCACAGAGTTGAACCTTCCTTTGATAGTTCAGGTTTGCAACACCCTTGTAGTAGAATCTGCAAGTGTATATTTTGACCACTTTGTAGCCTTCGTTTGAAACATCTATATCTTCACACCAAACCTAGACAGAAGCATTCTCAGAAAGTTTTCTGCGATGACTGCATTCAACTCACAGAGTTGAACAATCCTTCTGATGGAGCAGTTTTGAAACCCTCTTTCTTTGGAATCTGCAAGGGGATATGTGGACCTCTTTGAAGATTTCACTGGAAACGGGATCATCTTCACATAAAAACTAAACAGAAGCATTCTCGGAAACTACTTTGTGATGTTTGTATTCAACTCCCAGAGTTGAACTTTCCTTTTGAAAGAGCAGCTATAAAACACTCTTTTTCGAGAATCTGCAAGTGGACGTTTGGAGGGCTTTGAGGCCTGTGGTGGAAAAGGAAATATCTTCACATAAAAACTAGATAGAAGCATTCTCAGAAACGACTTTGTGAGGATGGCATTCAACTCATGGAGTTGAACAATCCTATTGATAGAGCAGATTGGAATCACTCTTTTTGTAGAATCTGCAAATGGAGATTTGGACTGCTTTGAGGCCTACGGTCGTATAGGAAGGAACTTCATATAAAAGGCAAACGGAAGCATTCTCAGAATATTCTTTGTGATGATGGAGTTTCACTCACAGAGCTGAACATGCCTTTTGATGGAGCAGTTTCCAAATACACTTTTGGTAGAATCTGCAGGTGGATATTTGGAGCTCTCTGAGGATTTCGTTGGAAACGGGAATAATTTCCCATAACTAAACACAGACACTCTGAGAAAGTTCTTCATGATGAATGCATTTAACTCGCAGAGATGAACCTGCCTTTGAGAGTTCAGGTTTGAAACACTCTTTCTGTAGAATCTGCAAGTGGATATTTGGACCACTGGCTGGCCTTCGTTCGAAACGGGTATATGTTCACGTAAAAACTAAAGAGAAGCATTCTCAGAAACTTCTGAGTGATGATTGCATTCAAGTCACACAGTTGAACCCTCCTTTTGATGGAGCAGTTTTGAAACTGTCTTTTTGTAGAATCTGTAAGTGGATACGTGGACCTCTTTGAAGATTTCTTTGAAAACGGGAATATTTCCACAGAAAAACTAAACTGAAGCATTCTCAGAAACCGCTTTGTGATGTTTGTGTTCGAGCCGCAGAGTTTAACATTGCTTTTCATAGAGCAGTTTTGAAATATTCTTTTGGCAGAATCTGCAAGTGGACATTTGGACCGCTTTCAGGCCTGTGGTGGCAAAGGCCTGAAAGCCTTTTCCTTTATCTTCACAGAAAGACGAGAGAGAAGCATTGTCAGAAACTTCTTTGTGATGATTGCATTCAACTCACAGAGTTGAAGATTCCTTTTGAAACAGCAGTTTCGAAACACTCTTTCTGTGGGATCCGCAAGGGGATATTTGGACCTCTTTGAAGGTTTGGTTGGAAACGGGATAATCTTCACCTAAAAGCTAAACGGAAGCATTCTCAGAAACTTCTTTGGGATGTTTGCATTCACCTCACAGAGTTGAACTTTCCCTTTGATAGCGCAGCTTTGACACACTTTTTCTACAATGTGCAAGTGGCTATTTAGCGGGCTTGGAGGACTGTGTTGGAAAAGGAAATATCTTCTCCTAAAAACGACATAGAAGCATTCTCAGAAACTGCTCTGTGATGATTGCATTCAACTCCCAGAGTTGAACATTCCTTTTGATAGAGCAGTTTGCAAACACTCTTTTTGTAGAATCTGCAAGTGGAGATTTGGACCGCTTTGAGGCCTGTGGTAGTGAAGGAAAGAACTTCATATAAAAACCAGACGGTAGCACTCTCAGAAAATTCTTTGTGACGATGTAGTTTAACTCAGGGAGCTGAACATTCGTTATGATGGAGCAGTTTCCAAACACACGTTTTGCAGAATCTGCAAGGGGATATTTGGACCTCTCTGAGGATTTCGTTGGAAACGGGATCAACTTCCCATAACTGAACGGAAGCAAACTCAGAACATTCTTTGTGATGTTTGTATTCAACTCACAGAGTTGAACCTTCCTTTGATAGTTCAGGTTTGCAACACCCTTGTAGTAGAATCTGCAAGTGTATATTTTGACCACTTTGTAGCCTTCGTTTGAAACGTCTATATCTTCACATCAAACCTAGACAGAAGCATTCTCAGAAAGTTTTCTGCGATGACTGCATTCAACTCACAGAGTTGAACAATCCTTCTGATGGAGCAGTTTTGAAACCCTCTTTCTTTGGAATCTGCAAGGGGATATGTGGACCTCTTTGAAGATTTCACTGGAAACGGGATCATCTTCACATAAAAACTAAACAGAAGCATTCTCGGAAACTACTTTGTGATGTTTGTATTCAACTGCCAGAGTTGAACTTTCCTTTTGAAAGAGCAGCTATGAAACACTCTTTTTCGAGAATCTGCAAGTGGACGTTTGGAGGGCTTTGAGGCCTGTGGTGGAAAAGGAAATATCTTCACATAAAAACTAGATAGAAGCATTCTCAGAAACGACTTTGTGAGGATGGCATTCAACCTCATGGAGTTGAACAATCCTATTGATAGAGCAGATTGGAATCACTCTTTTTGTGGAATCTGCAAATGGAGATTTGGACTGCTTTGAGGCCTACGGTCGTATAGGAAGGAACTTCAGATAAAAGGCAAACGGAAGCATTCTCAGAATATTCTTTGTGATGATGGAGTTTCACTGACAGAGCTGAACATGCCTTTTGATGGAGCAGTTTCCAAATACACTTTTGGTAGAATCTGCAGGTGGATATTTGGAGCTCTCTGAGGATTTCGTTGGAAACGGGAATAATTTCCCATAACTAAACACAAACACTCTGAGAAAGTTCTTCATGATGAATGCATTTAACTCGCAGAGATGAACCTGCCTTTGAGAGTTCAGGTTCGAAACACTCTTTCTGTATAATCTGCAAGTGGATATTTGGACCACTGGGTGGCCTTCGTTCGAAACGGGTATATGTTCACGTAAAAACTAAAGAGAAGCATTCTCAGAAACTTCTGAGTGATGATTGCATTCAAGTCACACAGTTGAACCCTCCTTTTGATGGAGCAGTTTTGAAACTGTCTTTTTGTAGAATCTGTAAGTGGATACGTGGACCTCTTTGAAGATTTCTTTGGAAACGGGAATATTTCCACAGAAAAACTAAACTGAAACATTCTCAGAAACCGCTTTGTGATGTTTGTGTTCCAGCCACAGAGTTTAACATTGCTTTTCATAGAGCAGTTTTGAAATATTCTTTTCGCAGAATCTGCAAGTGGACATTTGGAGCGCTTTCAGGCCTGTGGTGGAAAAGGCCTGAAAGCCTTTTCCTTTATCTTCACAGAAAGACGAGAGAGAAGCATTGTCAGAAACTTCTTTGTGATGATTGCATTCAACTCACAGAGTTGAAGATTCCTTTTGAAACAGCAGTTTCGAAACACTCTTTCTGTGGGATCCGCAAGGGGATATTTGGACCTCTTTGAAGGTTTCGTTGGAAACGGGATAATCTTCACCTAAAAGCTAAACGGAAGCATTCTCAGAAACTTCTTTGGGATGTTTGCATTCACCTCACAGAGTTGAACTTTCCCTTTGATAGCGCAGCTTTGACACACTTTTTCTACAATGTGCAAGTGGCTATTTAGCGGGCTTGGAGGACTGTGTTGGAAAAGGAAATATCTTCTCCTAAAAACGACATAGAAGCATTCTCAGAAACTGCTCTGTGATGATTGCATTCAACTCCCAGAGTTGAACATTCCTTTTGATAGAGCAGTTTGCAAACACTCTTTTTGTAGAATCTGCAAGTGGAGATTTGGACCGCTTTGAGGCCTGTGGTAGTGAAGGAAAGAACTTCATATAAAAACCAGACGGTAGCACTCTCAGAAAATTCTTTGTGACGATGGAGTTTAACTCAGGGAGCTGAACATTCGTTATGATGGAGCAGTTTCCAAACACACGTTTTGTAGAATCTGCAAGGGGATATTTGGACCTCTCTGAGGATTTCGTTGGAAACGGGATCAACTTCCCATAACTGAACGGAAGCAAACTCAGAACATTCTTTGTGATGTTTGTATTCAACTCACAGAGTTGAACCTTCCTTTGATAGTTCAGGTTTGCAACACCCTTGTAGTAGAATCTGCAAGTGTATATTTTGACCACTTTGTAGCCTTCGTTTGAAACGTCTATATCTTCACATCAAACCTAGACAGAAGCATTCTCAGAAAGTTTTCTGCGATGACTGCATTCAACTCACAGAGTTGAACAATCCTTCTGATGGAGCAGTTTTGAAACCCTCTTTCTTTGGAATCTGCAAGGGGATATGTGGACCTCTTTGAAAGATTTCACTGGAAACGGGATCATCTTCACATAAAAACTAAACAGAAGCATTCTCGGAAACTACTTTGTGATGTTTGTATTCAACTCCCAGAGTTGAACTTTCCTTTTGAAAGAGCAGCTATGAAACACTCTTTTTCGAGAATCTGCAAGTGGACGTTTGGAGGGCTTTGAGGCCTGTGGTGGAAAAGGAAATATCTTCACATAAAAACTAGATAGAAGCATTCTCAGAAACGACTTTGTGAGGATGGCATTCAACTCATGGAGTTGAACAATCCTATTGATAGAGCAGATTGGAATCACTCTTTTTGTAGAATCTGCAAATGAAGATTTGGACTGCTTTGAGGCCTACGGTAGTATAGGAAGGAGCTTCATATAAAAGGCAAACGGAAGCATTCTCAGAATATTATTTGTGATGATGGAGTTTCACACACAGAGCTGAACATGCCTTTTGATGGAGCAGTTTCCAAATACACTTTTGGTAGAATCTGTAGGTGGATATTTGGACCTCTCTGAGGATTTCGTTGGAAACGGGAATAATTTCCCATAACTAAACACAAACACGCTGAGAAAGTTCTTCATGATGAATGCATTTAACTCGCAGAGATGGACCTGCCTTTGAGAGTTCATGTTCGAAACACTCTTTCTGTAGAATCTGCAAGTGGATATTTGGACCACTGGCTGACCTTCGTTCGAAACGGGTATATGTTCACGTAAAAACTAAAGAGAAGCATTCTCAGAAACTTCTGAGTGATGATTGCATTCAAGTCACACAGTTGAACCCTCTTTTTGATGGAGCAGTTTTGAAACTGTCTTTTTGTAGAATCTGTAAGTGGATACGTGGACCTCTTTGAAGATTTCTTTGGAAACGGGAATATTTCCACAGAAAAACTAAACTGAAACATTCTCAGAAACCGCTTTGTGATGTTTGTGTTCCAGCCACAGAGTTTAACATTGCTTTTCATAGAGCAGTTTTGAAATATTCTTTTCGCAGAATCTGCAAGTGGACATTTGGAGCGCTTTCAGGCCTGTGGTGGAAAAGGCCTGAAAGCCTTTTCCTTTATCTTCACAGAAAGACGAGAGAGAAGCATTGTCAGAAACTTCTTTGTGATGATTGCATTCAGCTCACAGAGTTGAAGATTCCTTTTGAAACAGCAGTTTCGAAACACTCTTTCTGTGGGATCCGCAAGGGGATATTTGGACCTCTTTGCAGGTTTCGTTGGAAACGGGATAATCTTCACCTAAAAGCTAAACGGAAGCATTCTCAGAAACTTCTTTGGGATGTTTGCATTCACCTCACAGAGTTGAACTTTCCCTTTGATAGCGCAGCTTTGACACACTATTTCTACAATGTGCAAGTGGCTATTTAGCGGGCTTGGAGGACGGTGTTGGAAAAGGAAATATCTTCTCCTAAAAACGACATAGAAGCATTCTCAGAAACTGCTCTGTGATGATTGCATTCAACTCCCAGAGTTGAACATTCCTTTTGATAGAGCAGTTTGCAAACACTCTTTTTGTAGAATCTGCAAGTGGAGATTTGGACCGCTTTGAGGCCTGTGGTAGTGAAGGAAAGAACTTCATATAAAAACCAGACGGTAGCACTCTCAGAAAATTCTTTGTGACGATGGAGTTTAACTCAGGGAGCTGAACATTCGTTATGATGGAGCAGTTTCCAAACACACGTTTTGTAGAATCTGCGAGGGGATATTTGGACCTCTCTGAGGATTTCGTTGGAAACGGGATCAACTTCCCATAACTGAACGGAAGCAAACTCAGAACATTCTTTGTGATGTTTGTATTCAACTCACAGAGTTGAACCTTCCTTTGATAGTTCAGGTTTGCAACACCCTTGTAGTAGAATCTGCAAGTGTATATTTTGACCACTTTGTAGCCTTCGTTTGAAACGTCTATATCTTCACATCAAACCTAGACAGAAGCATTCTCAGAAAGTTTTCTGCGATGACTGCATTCAACTCACAGAGTTGAACAATCCTTCTGATGGAGCAGTTTTGAAACCCTCTTTCTTTGGAATCTGCAAGGGGATATGTGGACCTCTTTGAAGATTTCACTGGAAACGGGATCATCTTCACATAAAAACTAAACAGAAGCATTCTCGGAAACTACTTTGTGATGTTTGTATTCAACTGCCAGAGTTGAACTTTCCTTTTGAAAGAGCAGCTATGAAACACTCTTTTTCGAGAATCTGCAAGTGGACGTTTGGAGGGCTTTGAGGCCTGTGGTGGAAAAGGAAATATCTTCACACAAAAACCAGATAGAAGCATTCTCAGAAACTGCTTTGTGAGGATGGCATTCAACTCATGGAGTTGAACAATCCTATTGATAGAGCAGATTGGAATCACTCTTTTTGTAGAATCTGCAAATGGAGATTTGGACTGCTTTGAGGCCTACGGTAGTACAGGAAGGAACTTCATATAAAAGGCAAACGGAAGCATTCTCAGAATATTCTTTGTGATGATGGAGTTTCACTCACAGAGCTGAACATGCCTTTTGATGGAGCAGTTTCCAAATACACTTTTGGTAGAATCTGCAGGTGGATATTTGGAGCTCTCTGAGGATTTCGTTGGAAAGGGGAATAATTTCCCATAACTAAACACAAACACTCTGAGAAAGTTCTTCATGATGAATGCATTTAACTCGCAGAGATGAACCTGCCTTTGAGAGTTCAGGTTCGAAACACTCTTTCTGTATAATCTGCAAGTGGATATTTGGACCACTGGGTGGCCTTCGTTCGAAACGGGTATATGTTCACGTAAAAACTAAAGAGAAGCATTCTCAGAAACTTCTGAGTGATGATTGCATTCAAGTCACACGGTTGAACCCTCCTTTTGATGGAGCAGTTTTGAAACTGTCTTTTTGTAGAATCTGTAAGTGGATACGTGGACCTCTTTGAAGATTTCTTTGGAAACGGGAATATTTCCACAGAAAAACTAAACTGAATCATTCTCAGAAACCGCTTTGTGATGTTTGTGTTCGAGCCACAGAGTTTAACATTGCTTTTCATAGAGCAGTTTTGAAATATTCTTTTGGCAGAATCTGCAAGTGGACATTTGGAGCGCTTTCAGGCCTGTGGTGGAAAAGGCCTGAAAGCCTTTTCCTTTATCTTCACAGAAAGACGAGAGAGAAGCATTGTCAGAAACTTCTTTGTGATGATTGCATTCAACTCACAGAGTTGAAGATTCCTTTTGAAACAGCAGTTTCGAAACACTCTTTCTGTGGGATCCGCAAGGGGATATTTGGACCTCTTTGAAGGTTTCGTTGGAAACGGGATAATCTTCACCTAAAAGCTAAACGGAAGCATTCTCAGAAACTTCTTTGGGATGTTTGCATTCACCTCACAGAGTTGAACTTTCCCTTTGATAGCGCAGCTTTGACACACTTTTTCTACAATGTGCAAGTGGCTATTTAGCGGGCTTGGAGGACTGTGTTGGAAAAGGAAATATCTTCTCCTAAAAACGACATAGAAGCATTCTCAGAAACTGCTCTGTGATGATTGCATTCAACTCCCAGAGTTGAACATTCCTTTTGATAGAGCAGTTTGCAAACACTCTTTTTGTAGAATCTGCAAGTGGAGATTTGGACCGCTTTGAGGCCTGTGGTAGTGAAGGAAAGAACTTCATATAAAAACCAGACGGTAGCACTCTCAGAAAATTCTTTGTGACGATGGAGTTTAACTCAGGGAGCTGAACATTCGTTATGATGGAGCAGTTTCCAAACACACGTTTTGTAGAATCTGCGAGGGGATATTTGGACCTCTCTGAGGATTTCGTTGGAAACGGGATCAACTTCCCATAACTGAACGGAAGCAAACTCAGAACATTCTTTGTGATGTTTGTATTCAACTCACAGAGTTGAACCTTCCTTTGATAGTTCAGGTTTGCAACACCCTTGTAGTAGAATCTGCAAGTGTATATTTTGACCACTTTGTAGCCTTCGTTTGAAACGTCTATATCTTCACATCAAACCTAGACAGAAGCATTCTCAGAAAGTTTTCTGCGATGACTGCATTCAACTCACAGAGTTGAACAATCCTTCTGATGGAGCAGTTTTGAAACCCTCTTTCTTTGGAATCTGCAAGGGGATATGTGGACCTCTTTGAAGATTTCACTGGAAACGGGATCATCTTCACATAAAAACTAAACAGAAGCATTCTCGGAAACTATTTTGTGATGTTTGCATTCAACTCCCAGAGTTGAACTTTCCTTTTGAAAGAGCAGCTATGAAACACTCTTTTTCGAGAATCTGCAAGTGGACGTTTGGAGGGCTTTGAGGCCTGTGGTGGAAAAGGAAATATCTTCACACAAAAACCAGATAGAAGCATTCTCAGAAACTACTTTGTGAGGATGGCATTCAACTCATGGAGTTGAACAATCCTATTGATAGAGCAGATTGGAATCACTCTTTTTATAGAATCTGCAAATGGAGATTTGGACTGCTTTGAGGCCTACGGTAGTACAGGAAGGAACTTCATATAAAAGGCAAACGGAAGCATTCTCAGAATATTCTTTGTGATGATGGAGTTTCACTCACAGAGCTGAACATGCCTTTTGATGGAGCAGTTTCCAAATACACTTTTGGTAGAATCTGCAGGTGGATATTTGGAGCTCTCTGAGGATTTCGTTGGAAACGGGAATAATTTCCCATAACTAAACACAAACACTCTGAGAAAGTTCTTCATGATGAATGCTTTTAACCCGCAGAGATGAACCTGCCTTTGAGAGTTCAGGTTCGAAACACTCTTTCTGTATAATCTGCAAGTGGATATTTGGACCACTGGGTGGCCTTCGTTCGAAACGGGTATATGTTCACGTAAAAACTAAAGAGAAGCATTCTCAGAAACTTCTGAGTGATGATTGCATTCAAGTCACACGGTTGAACCCTCCTTTTGATGGAGCAGTTTTGAAACTGTCTTTTTGTAGAATCTGTAAGTGGATACGTGGACCTCTTTGAAGATTTCTTTGGAAACGGGAATATTTCCACAGAAAAACTAAACTGAAGCATTCTCAGAAACCGCTTTGTGATGTTTGTGTTCGAGCCACAGAGTTTAACATTGCTTTTCATAGAGCAGTTTTGAAATATTCTTTTCGCAGAATCTGCAAGTGGACATTTGGAGCGCTTTCAGGCCTGTGGTGGAAAAGGCCTGAAAGCCTTTTCCTTTATCTTCACAGAAAGACGAGAGAGAAGCATTGTCAGAAACTTCTTTGTGATGATTGCATTCAACTCACAGAGTTGAAGATTCCTTTTGAAACAGCAGTTTCGAAACACTCTTTCTGTGGGATCCGCAAGGGGATATTTGGACCTCTTTGAAGGTTTCGTTGGAAACGGGATAATCTTCACCTAAAAGCTAAACGGAAGCATTCTCAGAAACTTCTTTGGGATGTTTGCATTCACCTCACAGAGTTGAACTTTCCCTTTGATAGCGCAGCTTTGACACACTTTTTCTACAATGTGCAAGTGGCTATTTAGCGGGCTTGGAGGACTGTGTTGGAAAAGGAAATATCTTCTAAAAACGACATAGAAGCATTCTCAGAAACTGCTCTGTGATGATTGCATTCAACTCCCAGAGTTGAACATTCCTTTTGATAGAGCAGTTTGCAAACACTCTTTTTGTAGAATCTGCAAGTGGAGATTTGGACCGCTTTGAGGCCTGTGGTAGTGAAGGAAAGAACTTCATATAAAAACCAGACGGTAGCACTCTCAGAAAATTCTTTGTGACGATGGAGTTTAACTCAGGGAGCTGAACATTCGTTATGATGGAGCAGTTTCCAAACACACGTTTTGTAGAATCTGCGAGGGGATATTTGGACCTCTCTGAGGATTTCGTTGGAAACGGGATCAACTTCCCATAACTGAACGGAAGCAAACTCAGAACATTCTTTGTGATGTTTGTATTCAATTCACAGAGTTGAACCTTCCTTTGATAGTTCAGGTTTGCAACACCCTTGTAGTAGAATCTGCAAGTGTATATTTTGACCACTTTGTAGCCTTCGTTTGAAACGTCTATATCTTCACATCAAACCTAGACAGAAGCATTCTCAGAAAGTTTTCTGCGATGACTGCATTCAACTCACAGAGTTGAACAATCCTTCTGATGGAGCAGTTTTGAAACCCTCTTTCTTTGGAATCTGCAAGGGGATATGTGGACCTCTTTGAAGATTTCACTGGAAACGGGATCATCTTCACATAAAAACTAAACAGAAGCATTCTCGGAAACTACTTTGTGATGTTTGTATTCAACTCCCAGAGTTGAACTTTCCTTTTGAAAGAGCAGCTATGAAACACTCTTTTTCGAGAATCTGCAAGTGGACGTTTGGAGGGCTTGGAGGCCTGTGGTGGAAAAGGAAATACCTTCACATAAAAACTAGATAGAAGCATTCTCAGAAACTACTTTGTGAGGATGGCATTCAACTCATGGAGTTGAACAATCCTATTGATAGAGCAGATTGGAATCACTCTTTTTATAGAATCTGCAAATGGAGATTTGGACTGCTTTGAGGCCTACGGTAGTACAGGAAGGAACTTCATATAAAAGGCAAACGGGA
>NC_000023.11:58988981-59064833 GCF_000001405.40 Homo sapiens
TGTGTTTAGTTATGGGAAATTATTCCCGTTTCCAACGAAATCCTCAGAGAGCTCCAAATATCCACCTGCAGATTCTACCAAAAGTGTATTTGGAAACTGCTCCATCAAAAGGCATGTTCAGCTCTGTGAGTGAAACTCCATCATCACAAAGAATATTCTGAGAGAGACAGGAGGGAGGAGCCAAGATGGCCGAATAGGAACAGCTCCGGTCTACAGCTCCCAGCGTGAGCGACGCAGAAGACGGTGATTTCTGCATTTCCATCTGAGGTACCGGGTTCATCTCAATAGGGAGTGCCAGACAGTGGGCGCAGGCCAGTGTGTGTGCGCACCGTGCGCGAGCCGAAGCAGGGCGAGGCATTGCCTCACCTGGGAAGCGCACGGGTCAGGGAGTTCCCTTTCCGAGTCAAAGAAAGGGGTGACGGACGCACCTGGAAAATCGGGTCACTCCCACCCGAATATTGCGCTTTTCAGACCGGCTTAAGAAACGGCGCACCACAAGACTATATCCCAAACACTCTGAGAAAGTTCTTCATGATGAATGCATTTAACTCGCAGAGATGAACCTGCCTTTGAGAGTTCATGTTCGAAACACTCTTTCTGTAGAATCTGCAAGTGGATATTTGGACCACTGGCTGGCCTTCGTTCGAAACGGGTATATGTTCACGTAAAAACTAAAGACAAGCATTCTCAGAAACTTCTGAGTGATGATTGCATTCAAGTCACACAGTTGAACCCTCCTTTTGATGGAGCAGTTTTGAAACTGTCTTTTTGTAGAATCTGTAAGTGGATACGTGGACCTCTTTGAAGATTTCTTTGGAAACGGGAATATTTCCACAGAAAAACTAAACTGAAGCATTCTCAGAAACTGCTTTGTGATGTTGGTGTTCGAGCCGCAGAGTTTAACATTGCTTTTCATAGAGCAGTTTTGAAATATTCTTTTGGCAGAATCTGCAAGTGGACATTTGGAGCGCTTTCAGGCCTGTGGTGGAAAAGGCCTGAAAGCCTTTTCCTTTATCTTCACAGAAAGACGAGAGAGAAGCATTGTCAGAAACTTCTTTGTGATGATTGCATTCAACTCACAGAGTTGAAGATTCCTTTTGAAACAGCAGTTTCGAAACACTCTTTCTGTGGGATCCGCAAGGGGATATTTGGACCTCTTTGAAGGTTTCGTTGGAAACGGGATAATCTTCACCTAAAAGCTAAACGGAAGCATTCTCAGAAACTTCTTTGGGATGTTTGCATTCACCTCACAGAGTTGAACTTTCCCTTTGATAGCGCAGCTTTGACACACTTTTTCTACAATGTGCAAGTGGCTATTTAGCGGGCTTGGAGGACTGTGTTGGAAAAGGAAATATCTTCTCCTAAAAACGACATAGAAGCATTCTCAGAAACTGCTCTGTGATGATTGCATTCAACTCCCAGAGTTGAACATTCCTTTTGATAGAGCAGTTTGCAAACACTCTTTTTGTAGAATCTGCAAGTGGAGATTTGGACCGCTTTGAGGCCTGTGGTAGTGAAGGAAAGAACTTCATATAAAAACCAGACGGTAGCACTCTCAGAAAATTCTTTGTGACGATGGAGTTTAACTCAGGGAGCTGAACATTCGTTATGATGGAGCAGTTTCCAAACACATGTTTTGTAGAATCTGCGAGGGGATATTTGGACCTCTCTGAGGATTTCGTTGGAAACGGGATCAACTTCCCATAACTGAACGGAAGCAAACTCAGAACATTCTTTGTGATGTTTGTATTCAATTCACAGAGTTGAACCTTCCTTTGATAGTTCAGGTTTGCAACACCCTTGTAGTAGAATCTGCAAGTGTATATTTTGACCACTTTGTAGCCTTCGTTTGAAACGTCTATATCTTCACATCAAACCTAGACAGAAGCATTCTCAGAAAGTTTTCTGCGATGACTGCATTCAACTCACAGAGTTGAACAATCCTTCTGATGGAGCAGTTTTGAAACCCTCTTTCTTTGGAATCTGCAAGGGGATATGTGGACCTCTTTGAAGATTTCACTGGAAACGGGATCATCTTCACATAAAAACTAAACAGAAGCATTCTCGGAAACTACTTTGTGATGTTTGTATTCAACTGCCAGAGTTGAACTTTCCTTTTGAAAGAGCAGCTATGAAACACTCTTTTTCGAGAATCTGCAAGTGGACGTTTGGAGGGCTTTGAGGCCTGTGGTGGAAAAAGAAATATCTTCACATAAAAACTAGATAGAAGCATTCTCAGAAACGACTTTGTGAGGATGGCATTCAACTCATGGAGTTGAACAATCCTATTGATAGAGCAGATTGGAATCACTCTTTTTGTGGAATCTGCAAATGGAGATTTGGACTGCTTTGAGGCCTACGGTCGTATAGGAAGGAACTTCAGATAAAAGGCAAACGGAAGCATTCTCAGAATATTCTTTGTGATGATGGAGTTTCACTGACAGAGCTGAACATGCCTTTTGATGGAGCAGTTTCCAAATACACTTTTGGTAGAATCTGCAGGTGGATATTTGGAGCTCTCTGAGGATTTCGTTGGAAACGGGAATAATTTCCCATAACTAAACACAAACACTCTGAGAAAGTTCTTCATGATGAATGCATTTAACTCGCAGAGATGAACCTGCCTTTGAGAGTTCAGGTTCGAAACACTCTTTCTGTAGAATCTGCAAGTGGATATTTGGACCACTGGCTGGCCTTCGTTCGAAACGGGTATATGTTCACGTAAAAACTAAAGAGAAGCATTCTCAGAAACTTCTGAGTGATGATTGCATTCAAGTCACACAGTTGAACCCTCCTTTTGATGGAGCAGTTTTGAAACTGTCTTTTTGTAGAATCTGTAAGTGGATACGTGGACCTCTTTGAAGATTTCTTTGGAAACGGGAATATTTCCACAGAAAAACTAAACTGAATCATTCTCAGAAACCGCCTTGTGATGTTTGTGTTCGAGCCACAGAGTTTAACATTGCGTTTCATAGAGCAGTTTTGAAATATTCTTTTGGCAGAATCTGCAAGTGGACATTTGGAGCGCTTTCAGGCCTGTGGTGGAAAAGTCCTGAAAGCCTTTTCCTTTACCTTCACAGAAAGACGAGAGAGAAGCATTGTCAGAAACTTCTTTGCGATGATTGCATTCAACTCACAGAGTTGAAGATTCCTTTTGAAACAGCAGTTTCGAAACACTCTTTCTGTGGGATCCGCAAGGGGATATTTGGACCTCTTTGAAGGTTTCGTTGGAAACGGGATAATCTTCACCTAAAAGCTAAACGGAAGCATTCTCAGAAACTTCTTTGGGATGTTTGCATTCACCTCACAGAGTTGAACTTTCCCTTTGATAGCGCAGCTTTGACACACTTTTTCTACAATGTGCAAGTGGCTATTTAGCGGGCTTGGAGGACTGTGTTGGAAAAGGAAATATCTTCTCCTAAAAACGACATAGAAGCATTCTCAGAAACTGCTCTGTGATGATTGCATTCAACTCCCAGAGTTGAACATTCCTTTTGATAGAGCAGTTTGCAAACACTCTTTTTGTAGAATCTGGAAGTGGAGATTTGGACCGCTTTGAGGCCTGTGGTAGTGAAGGAAAGAGCTTCATATAAAAACCAGACGGTAGCACTCTCAGAAAATTCTTTGTGACGATGGAGTTTAACTCAGGGAGCTGAACATTCGTTATGATGGAGCAGTTTCCAAACACACGTTTTGTAGAATCTGCAAGGGGATATTTGGACCTCTCTGAGGATTTCGTTGGAAACGGGATCAACTTCCCATAACTGAACGGAAGCAAACTCAGAACATTCTTTGTGATGTTTGTATTCAACTCACAGAGTTGAACCTTCCTTTGATAGTTCAGGTTTGCAACACCCTTGTAGTAGAATCTGCAAGTGTATATTTTGACCACTTTGTAGCCTTCGTTTGAAACGTCTATATCTTCACATCAAACCTAGACAGAAGCATTCTCAGAAAGTTTTCTGCGATGACTGCATTCAACTCACAGAGTTGAACAATCCTTCTGATGGAGCAGTTTTGAAACCCTCTTTCTTTGGAATCTGCAAGGGGATATGTGGACCTCTTTGAAGATTTCACTGGAAACGGGATCATCTTCACATAAAAACTAAACAGAAGCATTCTCGGAAACTACTTTGTGATGTTTGTATTCAACTCCCAGAGTTGAACTTTCCTTTTGAAAGAGCAGCTATGAAACACTCTTTTTCGAGAATCTGCAAGTGGACGTTTGGAGGGCTTTGAGGCCTGTGGTGGAAAAGGAAATATCTTCACATAAAAACTAGATAGAAGCATTCTCAGAAACGACTTTGTGAGGATGGCATTCAACTCATGGAGTTGAACAATCCTATTGATAGAGCAGATTGGAATCACTCTTTTTGTAGAATCTGCAAATGGAGATTTGGACTGCTTTGAGGCCTACGGTCGTATAGGAAGGAACTTCAGATAAAAGGCAAACGGAAGCATTCTCAGAATATTCTTTGTGATGATGGAGTTTCACTCACAGAGCTGAACATGCCTTTTGATGGAGCAGTTTCCAAATACACTTTTGGTAGAATCTGCAGGTGGATATTTGGACCACTCTGAGGATTTCGTTGGAAACGGGAATAATTTCCCATAACTAAGCACAAACACTCTGAGAAAGTTCTTCATGATGAATGCATTTAACTCGCAGAGATGAACCTGCCTTTGAGAGTTCAGGTTCGAAACACTCTTTCTGTATAATCTGCAAGTGGATATTTGGACCACTGGGTGGCCTTCGTTCGAAACGGGTATATGTTCACGTAAAAACTAAAGAGAAGCATTCTCAGAAACTTCTGAGTGATGATTGCATTCAAGTCACACAGTTGAACCCTCCTTTTGATGGAGCAGTTTTGAAACTGTCTTTTTGTAGAATCTGTAAGTGGATACGTGGACCTCTTTGAAGATTTCTTTGGAAACGGGAATATTTCCACAGAAAAACTAAACTGAAGCATTCTCAGAAACCGCTTTGTGATGTTTGTGTTCGAGCCACAGAGTTTAACATTGCTTTTCATAGAGCAGTTTTGAAATATTCTTTTCGCAGAATCTGCAAGTGGACATTTGGAGCGCTTTCAGGCCTGTGGTGGAAAAGGCCTGAAAGCCTTTTCCTTTATCTTCACAGAAAGACGAGAGAGAAGCATTGTCAGAAACTTCTTTGTGATGATTGCATTCAACTCACAGAGTTGAAGATTCCTTTTGAAACAGCAGTTTCGAAACACTCTTTCTGTGGGATCCGCAAGGGGATATTTGGACCTCTTTGAAGGTTTCGTTGGAAACGGGATAATCTTCACCTAAAAGCTAAACGGAAGCATTCTCAGAAACTTCTTTGGGATGTTTGCATTCACCTCACAGAGTTGAACTTTCCCTTTGATAGCGCAGCTTTGACACACTTTTTCTACAATGTGCAAGTGGCTATTTAGCGGGCTTGGAGGACGGTGTTGGAAAAGGAAATATCTTCTCCTAAAAACGACATAGAAGCATTCTCAGAAACTGCTCTGTGATGATTGCATTCAACTCCCAGAGTTGAACATTCCTTTTGATAGAGCAGTTTGCAAACACTCTTTTTGTAGAATCTGCAAGTGGAGATTTGGACCGCTTTGAGGCCTGTGGTAGTGAAGGAAAGAACTTCATATAAAAACCAGACGGTAGCACTCTCAGAAAATTCTTTGTGACGATGGAGTTTAACTCAGGGAGCTGAACATTCGTTATGATGGAGCAGTTTCCAAACACACGTTTTGTAGAATCTGCGAGGGGATATTTGGACCTCTCTGAGGATTTCGTTGGAAACGGGATCAACTTCCCATAACTGAACGGAAGCAAACTCAGAACATTCTTTGTGATGTTTGTATTCAACTCACAGAGTTGAACCTTCCTTTGATAGTTCAGGTTTGCAACACCCTTGTAGTAGAATCTGCAAGTGTATATTTTGACCACTTTGTAGCCTTCGTTTGAAACGTCTATATCTTCACATCAAACCTAGACAGAAGCATTCTCAGAAAGTTTTCTGCGATGACTGCATTCAACTCACAGAGTTGAACAATCCTTCTGATGGAGCAGTTTTGAAACCCTCTTTCTTTGGAATCTGCAAGGGGATATGTGGACCTCTTTGAAGATTTCACTGGAAACGGGATCGATCATCTTCACATAAAAACTAAACAGAAGCATTCTCGGAAACTACTTTGTGATGTTTGTATTCAACTCCCAGAGTTGAACTTTCCTTTTGAAAGAGCAGCTATGAAACACTCTTTTTCGAGAATCTGCAAGTGGACGTTTGGAAGGCTTTGAGGCCTGTGGTGGAAAAGGAAATATCTTCACATAAAAACTAGATAGAAGCATTCTCAGAAACGACTTTGTGAGGATGGCATTCAACTCATGGAGTTGAACAATCCTATTGATAGAGCAGATTGGAATCACTCTTTTTGTAGAATCTGCAAATGGAGATTTGGACTGCTTTGAGGCCTACGGTCGTATAGGAAGGAACTTCATATAAAAGGCAAACGGAAGCATTCTCAGAATATTCTTTGTGACGATGGAGTTTCACGCACAGAGCTGAACATGCCTTTTGATGGAGCAGTTTCCAAATACACTTTTGGTAGAATCTGCAGGTGGATATTTGGAGCTCTCTGAGGATTTCGTTGGAAACGGGAATAATTTCCCATAACTAAACACAAACACTCTGAGAAAGTTCTTCATGATGAATGCATTTAACTCGCAGAGATGAACCTGCCTTTGAGAGTTCAGGTTCGAAACACTCTTTCTGTAGAATCTGCAAGTGGATATTTGGACCACTGGGTGGCCTTCGTTCGAAACGGGTATATGTTCACGTAAAAACTAAAGAGAAGCATTCTCAGAAACTTCTGAGTGATGATTGCATTCAAGTCACACAGTTGAACCCTCCTTTTGATGGAGCAGTTTTGAAACTGTCTTTTTGTAGAATCTGTAAGTGGATACGTGGACCTCTTTGAAGATTTCTTTGGAAACGGGAATATTTCCACAGAAAAACTAAACTGAAGCATTCTCAGAAACCGCTTTGTGATGTTTGTGTTCGAGCCACAGAGTTTAACATTGCTTTTCATAGAGCAGTTTTGAAATATTCTTTTCGCAGAATCTGCAAGTGGACATTTGGAGCGCTTTCAGGCCTGTGGTGGAAAAGGCCTGAAAGCCTTTTCCTTTATCTTCACAGAAAGACGAGAGAGAAGCATTGTCAGAAACTTCTTTGTGATGATTGCATTCAACTCACAGAGTTGAAGATTCCTTTTGAAACAGCAGTTTCGAAACACTCTTTCTGTGGGATCCGCAAGGGGATATTTGGACCTCTTTGAAGATTTCGTTGGAAACGGGATAATCTTCACCTAAAAGCTAAACGGAAGCATTCTCAGAAACTTCTTTGGGATGTTTGCATTCACCTCACAGAGTTGAACTTTCCCTTTGATAGCGCAGCTTCGACACACTTTTTCTACAATGTGCAAGTGGATATTTAGCGGGCTTGGAGGACTGTGTTGGAAAAGGAAATATCTTCTCCTAAAAACGACATAGAAGCATTCTCAGAAACTGCTCTGTGATGATTGCATTCAACTCCCAGAGTTGAACATTCCTTTTGATAGAGCACTTTGCAAACACTCTTTTTGTAGAATCTGCAAGTGGAGATTTGGACCGCTTTGAGGCCTGTGGTAGTAAAGGAAAGAACTTCATATAAAAACTAGACGGTAGCACTCTCAGAAAATTCTTTGTGACGATGGAGTTTAACTCAGAGAGCTGAACATTCGTTATGATGGAGCAGTTTCCAAACACACGTTTTGTAGAATCTGCAAGGGGATATTTGGACCTCTCTGAGGATTTCGTTGGAAACGGGATCAACTTCCCATAACTGAACGGAAGCAAACTCAGAACATTCTTTGTGATGTTTGTATTCAACTCACAGAGTTGAACCTTCCTTTGATAGTTCAGGTTTGCAACACCCTTGTAGTAGAATCTGCAAGTGTATATTTTGACCACTTTGTAGCCTTCGTTTGAAACGTCTATATCTTCACCTCAAACCTAGACAGAAGCATTCTCAGAAAGTTTTCTGCGATGACTGCATTCAACTCACAGAGTTGAACAATCCTTTCGATGGAGCAGTTTTGAAACCCTCTTTCTTTGGAATCTGCAAGGGGATATGTGGACCTCTTTGAAGATTTCACTGGAAACGGGATCATCTTCACATAAGAACTAAACAGAAGCATTCTCGGAAACTACTTTGTGATGTTTGTATTCAACTCCCAGAGTTGAACTTTCCTTTTGAAAGAGCGGCTATGAAACACTCTTTTTCGAGAATCTGCAAGTTGACGTTTGGAGGGCTTTGAGGCCTGTGGTGGAAAAGGAAATATCTTCACATAAAAACTAGATAGAAGCATTCTCAGAAACGACTTTGTGAGGATGGCATTCAACTCATGGAGTTGAACAATCCTATTGATAGAGCAGATTGGAATCACTCTTTTTGTAGAATCTGCAAATGGAGATTTGGACTGCTTTGAGGCCTACGGTAGTATAAGAAGGAACTTCATATAAAAGGCAAAAGGAAGCATTCTCAGAATATACTTTGTGATGATGGAGTTTCACTCACAGAGCTGAACATGCCTTTTGATGGAGCAGTTTCCAAATACACTTTTGGTAGAATCTGCAGGTGGATATTTGGACCTCTCTGAGGATTTCGTTGGAAACGGGAATAATTTCCCATACCTAAACACAAACACTCTGAGAAAGTTCTTCATGATGAATGTATTGAACTCGCAGAGATGAACCTGCCTTTGAGAGTTCAGGTTGGAAACACTCTTTCTGTAGAATCTGCAAGTGGATATTTGGACCTCTGGGTGGCCTTCGTTCGAAACGGGTATATGTTCACGTAAAAAGTAAAGAGAAGCGTTCTCAGAAACTTCTGAGTGATGATTGCATTCAAGTCACACGGTTGAACCCTCCTTTTGATTGAGCAGTTTTGAAACTGTCTTTTTGTAGAATCTGTAAGTGGATGCGTGGACCTCTTTGAAGATTTCTTTCGAAACGGGAATATTTCCACAGAAAAAGTAAACTGAAGCATTCTCAGAAACGGCTTTGTGATGTTTGTGTTCGAGCCACAGAGTTTAACATTGCCTTTCATAGAGCAGTTTTGAAATATTCTTTTGGCAGAATCTGCAAGTGGACATTTGGAGTGCTTTCAGGCCTGTGGTGGAAAAGGCCTGAAAGCCTTTTCCTTTATCTTCACAGAAAGACGAGAGAGAAGCATTGTCAGAAACTTCTTTGTGATGATTGCATTCAACTCACAGAGTTGAAGATTCCTTTTGAAACAGCAGTTTCGAAACACTCTTTCTGTGGGATCCGCAAGGGGATATTTGGACCTCTTTGAAGATTTCGTTGGAAACGGGATAATCTTCACCTAAAAGCTAAACGGAAGCATTCTCAGAAACTTCTTTGGGATGTTTGCATTCACCTCACAGAGTTGAACTTTCCCTTTGATAGCGCAGCTTCGACAAACTTTGTCTACAATGTGCAAGTGGATATTTAGCGGGCTTGGAGGACTGTGTTGGAAAAGGAAATATCTTCTCCTAAAAACGACATAGAAGCATTCTCAGAAACTGCTCTGTGATGATTGCATTCAACTCCCAGAGTTGAACATTCCTTTTGATAGAGCAGTTTGCAAACACTCTTTTTGTAGAATCTGCAAGTGGAGATTTGGACCGCTTTGAGGCCTGTGGTAGTAAAGGAAAGAACTTCATATAAAAACCAGACGGTAGCACTCTCAGAAAATTCTTTGTGACGATGGAGTTTAACTCAGAGAGCTGAACATTCGTTATGATGGAGCAGTTTCCAAACACACGTTTTGTAGAATCTGCAAGGGGATATTTGGACCTCTCTGAGGATTTCGTTGGAAACGGGATCAACTTCCCATAACTGAACGGAAGCAAACTCAGAACATTCTTTGTGATGTTTGTATTCAACTCACAGAGTTGAACCTTCCTTTGATAGTTCAGGTTTGCAACACCCTTGTAGTAGAATCTGCAAGTGTATATTTTGACCACTTTGTAGCCTTCGTTTGAAACGTCTATATCTTCACCTCAAACCTAGACAGAAGCATTCTCAGAAAGTTTTCTGCGATGACTGCATTCAACTCACAGAGTTGAACAATCCTTTTGATGGAGCAGTTTTGAAACCCTCTTTCTTTGGAATCTGCAAGGGGATATGTGGACCTCTTTGAAGATTTCACTGGAAACGGGATCATCTTCACATAAGAACTAAACAGAAGCATTCTCGGAAACTACTTTGTGATGTTTGTATTCAACTCCCAGAGTTGAACTTTCCTTTTGAAAGAGCGGCTATGAAACACTCTTTTTCGAGAATCTGCAAGTGGACGTTTTGAGGGCCTTGAGGCCTGTGGTGGAAAAGGAAATATCTTCACATAAAAACTAGATAGAAGCATTCTCAGAAACGACTTTGTGAGGATGGCATTCAACTCATGGAGTTGAACAATCCTATTGATAGAGCAGATTGGAATCACTCTTTTGGTAGAATCTGCAAATGGAGATTTGGACTGCTTTGAGGCCTACGGTAGTACAGGAAGGAACTTCATATAAAAGGCAAACGGAAGCATTCTCAGAATATTCTTTGTGATGATGGAGTTTCACTCACAGAGCTGAACATGCCTTTTGATGGAGCAGTTTCCAAATACACTTTTGGTAGAATCTGCAGGTGGATATTTGGACCTCTCTGAGGATTTCGTTGGAAATGGGAATAATTTCCCATACCTAAACACAAACACTCTGAGAAAGTTCTTCATGATGAATGCATTGAACTCACAGAGATGAACCTGCCTTTGAGAGTTCAGGTTCGAAACACTCTTTCTGTAGAATCTGCAAGTGGATATTTGGACCTCTAGGTGGCCTTCGTTCAAAACGGGTATATGTTCACGTAAAAACTAAAGAGAAGCATTCTCAGAAACTTCTGAGTGATGATTGCATTCAAGTCACACGGTTGAACCCTCCTTTTGATTGAGCAGTTTTGAAACTGTCTTTTTGTAGAATCTGTAAGTGGATACGTGGACCTCTTTGAAGATTTCTTTGGAAACGGGAATATTTCCACAGAAAAACTAAACTGAAGCATTCTCAGAAACTGCTTTGTGATGTTTGTGTTCGAGCCGCAGAGTTTAACATTGCTTTTCATAGAGCAGTTTTGAAATATTCTTTTGGCAGAATCTGCAAGTGGACATTTGGAGCGCTTTCAGGCCTGTGGGTGGAAAAGGCCTGAAAGCCTTTTCCTTTATCTTCACAGAAAGACGAGAGAGAAGCATTGTCAGAAACTTCTTTGTGATGATTGCATTCAACTCACAGAGTTGAAGATTCCTTTTGAAACAGCAGTTTCGAAACACTCTTTCTGTGGGAACCGCAAGGGGATATTTGGATCTATTTGAAGGTTTCGTTGGAAACTGGATAATCTTCACCTAAAAGCTAAACGGAAGCATTCTCAGAAACTTCTTTGGGATGTTTGCATTCACCTCACAGAGTTGAACTTTCCCTTTGATAGCGCAGCTTTGACACACTTTTTCTACAATGTGCAAGTGGCTATTTAGCGGGCTTGGAGGACTGTGTTGGAAAAGGAAATATCTTCTCCTAAAAACGACAAAGAAGCATTCTCAGAAACTGCTCTGTGATGATTGCATTCAACTCCCAGAGTTGAACATTCCTTTTGATAGAGCAGTTTGCAAACACTCTTTTTGTAGAATCTGCAAGTGGAGATTTGGACCGCTTTGAGGCCTGTGGTAGTGAAGGAAAGAACTTCATATAAAAACCAGACGGTAGCACTCTCAGAAAATTCTTTGTGACGATGGAGTTTAACTCAGGGAGCTGAACATTCGTTATGATGGAGCAGTTTCCAAACACACGTTTTGTAGAATCTGCAAGGGGATATTTGGACCTCTCTGAGGATTTCGTTGGAAACGGGATCAACTTCCCATAACTGAACGGAAGCAAACTCAGAACATTCTTTGTGATGTTTGTATTCAACTCACAGAGTTGAACCTTCCTTTGATAGTTCAGGTTTGCAACACCCTTGTAGTAGAATCTGCAAGTGTATATTTTGACCACTTTGTAGCCTTCGTTTGAAACGTCTATATCTTCACATCAAACCTAGACAGAAGCATTCTCAGAAAGTTTTCTGCGATGACTGCATTCAACTCACAGAGTTGAACAATCCTTCTGATGGAGCAGTTTTGAAACCCTCTTTCTTTGGAATCTGCAAGGGGATATGTGGACCTCTTTGAAGATTTCACTGGAAACGGGATCATCTTCACATAAAAACTAAACAGAAGCATTCTCGGAAACTACTTTGGGATGTTTGTATTCAACTCCCAGAGTTGAACTTTCCTTTTGAAAGAGCAGCTATGAAACACTCTTTTTCGAGAATCTGCAAGTGGACGTTTGGAGGGCTTTGAGGCCTGTGGTGGAAAAGGAAATATCTTCACATAAAAACTAGATAGAAGCATTCTCAGAAACTACTTTGTGAGGATGGCATTCAACTCATGGAGTTGAACAATCCTATTGATAGAGCAGATTGGAATCACTCTTTTTGTAGAATCTGCAAATGGAGATTTGGACTGCTTTGAGGCCTACGGTAGTATAGGAAGGAACTTCATATAAAAGGCAAACGGAAGCATTCTCAGAATATTCTTTGTGATGATGGAGTTTCACTCACAGAGCTGAACATGCCTTTTGATGGAGCAGTTTCCAAATACACTTTTGGTAGAATCTGCAGGTGGATATTTGGAGCTCTCTGAGGATTTCGTTGGAAACGGGAATAATTTCCCATAACTAAACACAAACACGCTGAGAAAGTTCTTCATGATGAATGCATTTAACTCGCAGAGATGAACCTGCCTTTGAGAGTTCAGGTTCAAAACACTCTTTCTGTAGAATCTGCAAGTGGATATTTGGACCACTGGCTGGCCTTCGTTCGAAACGGGTATATGTTCACGTAAAAACTAAAGAGAAGCGTTCTCAGAAACTTCTGAGTGATGAATGCATTCAAGTCACACAGTTGAACCCTCCTTTTGATTGAGCAGTTTTGAAACTGTCTTTTTGTAGAATCTGTAAGTGGATGCGTGGACCTCTTTGAAGATTTCTTTGGAAACGGGAATATTTCCACAGAAAAACTAAACTGAAGCATTCTCAGAAACTGCTTTGTGATGTTTGTGTTCGAGCCGCAGAGTTTAACATTGCTTTTCATAGAGCAGTTTTGAAATATTCTTTTGGCAGAATCTGCAAGTGGACATTTGGAGCGCTTTCAGGCCTGTGGTGGAAATGGCCTGAAAGCCTTTTCCTTTATCTTCACAGAAAGACGAGAGAGAAGCATTGTCAGAAACTTCTTTGTGATGATTGCATTCAACTCACAGAGTTGAAGATTCCTTTTGAAACAGCAGTTTCGAAACACTCTTTCTGTGGGATCCGCAAGGGGATATTTGGACCTCTTTGAAGATTTCGTTGGAAACGGAATAATCTTCACTTAAAGCTAAACGGAAGCATTCTCAGAAACTTCTTTGGGATGTTTGCATTCACCTCACAGAGTTGAACTTTCCCTTTGATAGCACAGCTTCGACACACTTTTTCTACAATGTGCAAGTGGATACATAGCGGGCTTGGAGGACTGTGTTGGAAAAGGATATATCTTCTCCTAAAAACGACATAGAAGCATTCTCAGAAACTGCTCTGTGATGATTGCATTCAACTCCCAGAGTTGAACATTCCTTTTGATAGAGCAGTTTGCAAACACTCTTTTTGTAGAATCTGCAAGTGGAGATTTGGACCGCTTTGAGGCCTGTGGTAGTAAAGGAAAGAACTTCATATAAAAACTAGACGGTAGCACTCTCAGAAAATTCTTTGTGACGATGGAGTTTAACTCAGAGAGCTGAACATTCGTTATGATGGAGCAGTTTCCAAACACACGTTTTGTAGAATCTGCAAGGGGATATTTGGACCTCTCTGAGGATTTCGTTGGAAACGGGATCAACTTCCCATAACTGAACGGAAGCAAACTCAGAACATTCTTTGTGATGTTTGTATTCAACTCACAGAGTTGAACCTTCCTTTGATAGTTCAGGTTTGCATCACCCTTGTAGTAGAATCTGCAAGTGTATATGTTGACCACTATGTAGCCTTCGTTTGAAACGTCTATATCTTCACATCAAACCTAGACAGAAGCATTCTCAGAAAGTTTTCTGCGATGACTGCATTCAACTCACAGAGTTGAACAATCCTTTTGATGGAGCAGTTTTGAAACCCTCTTTCTTTGGAATCTGCAAGGGGATATGTGGACCTCTTTGAAGATTTCACTGGAAACGGGATCATCTTCACATAAGAACTAAACAGAAGCATTCTCGGAAACTACTTTGTGATGTTTGTATTCAACTCCCAGTAGTTGAACTTTCCTTTTGAAAGAGCAGCTATGAAACACTCTTTTTCGAGAATCTGCAAGTGGACGTTTGGAGGGCTTTGAGGCCTGTGGTGGAAAAGGAAATATCTTCACATAAAAACTAGATAGAAGCATTCTCAGAAACGACTTTGTGAGGATGGCATTCAACTCATGGAGTTGAACAATCCTATTGATAGAGCAGATTGGAATCACTCTTTTTGTAGAATCTGCAAATGGAGATTTGGACTGCTTTGAGGCCTACGGTCGTATAGGAAGGAACTTCATATAAAAGGCAAACGGAAGCATTCTCAGAATATTCTTTGTGATGATGGAGTTTCACTCACAGAGCTGAACATGCCTTTTGATGGAGCAGTTTCCAAATACACTTTTGGTAGAATCTGCAGGTGGATATTTGGAGCTCTCTGAGGATTTCGTTGGAAACGGGAATAATTTCCCATAACTAAACACAAACACTCTGAGAAAGTTCTTCATGATGAATGCATTTAACTCGCAGAGATGAACCTGCCTTTGAGAGTTCAGGTTCGAAACACTCTTTCTGTATAATCTGCAAGTGGATATTTGGACCACTGGGTGGCCTTCGTTCGAAACGGGTATATGTTCACGTAAAAACTAAAGAGAAGCATTCTCAGAAACTTCTGAGTGATGATTGCATTCAAGTCACACAGTTGAACCCTCCTTTTGATGGAGCAGTTTTGAAACTGTCTTTTTGTAGAATCTGTAAGTGGATGCGTGGACCTCTTTGAAGATTTCTTTGGAAACGGGAATATTTCCACAGAAAAACTAAACTGAAGCATTCTCAGAAACTGCTTTGTGATGTTTGTGTTCGAGCCACAGAGTTTAACATTGCTTTTCATAGAGCAGTTTTGAAATATTCTTTTCGCAGAATCTGCAAGTGGACATTTGGAGCGCTTTCAGGCCTGTGGTGGAAAAGGCCTGAAAGCCTTTTCCTTTATCTTCACAGAAAGACGAGAGAGAAGCATTGTCAGAAACTTCTTTGTGATGATTGCATTCAACTCACAGAGTTGAAGATTCCTTTTGAAACAGCAGTTTCAAAACACTCTTTCTGTGGGATCCGCAAGGGGATATTTGGACCTCTTTGAAGGTTTCGTTGGAAACGGGATAATCTTCACCTAAAAGCTAAACGGAAGCATTCTCAGAAACTTCTTTGGGATGTTTGCATTCACCTCACAGAGTTGAACTTTCCCTTTGATAGCGCAGCTTCGACACACTTTTTCTAAAGTGTGCAAGTGGACCTTTAGCGGGCTTGGAGGACTGTGTTGGAAAAGGAAATATCTTCTCCTAAAAACGACATAGAAGCATTCTCAGAAACTGCTCTGTGATGATTGCATTCAACTCCCAGAGTTGAACATTCCTTTTGATAGAGCAGTTTGCAAACACTCTTTTTGTAGAATCTGCAAGTGGAGATTTGGACCGCTTTGAGGCCTGTGGTAGTAAAGGAAAGAACTTCATATAAAAACTAGACGGTAGCACTCTCAGAAAATTCTTTGTGACGATGGAGTTCAACTCAGAGAGCTGAACATTCGTTATGATGGAGCAGTTTCCAAACACACGTTTTGTAGAATCTGCAAGGGGATATTTGGACCTCTCTGAGGATTTCGTAGGAAACGGGATCAACTTCCCATAACTGAACGGAAGCAAACTCAGAACATTCTTTGTGATGTTTGTATTCAACTCACAGAGTTGAACTTTCCTTTGATAGTTGAGGTTTGCATCACCCTTGTAGTAGAATCTGCAAGTGTATATTTTGAACACTTTGTAGCCTTCATTTGAAACGTCTATATCTTCACATCAAACCTAGACAGAAGCATTCTCAGAAAGTTTTCTGCGATGACTGCATTCAACTCACAGAGTTGAACAATCCTTTTGATGGAGCAGTTTTGAAACCCTCTTTCTTTGGAATCTGCAAGGGGATATGTGGACCTCTTTGAAGATTTCACTGGAAACGGGATCATCTTCACATAAGAACTAAACAGAAGCATTCTCGGAAACTACTTTGTGATGTTTGTATTCAACTCCCACAGTTGAAATTTCCTTTTGAAAGAGCAGCTATGAAACACTCTTTTTCGAGAATCTGCAAGTGGACGTTTGGAGGGCTTTGAGGCCTGTGGTGGAAAAGGAAATATCTTCACATAAAAACTACATAGAAGCATTCTCAGAAACTACTTTGTGAGGATGGCATTCAACTCATGGAGTTGAACAATCATATTGATAGAGCAGATTGGAATCACTCTTTTTGTAGAATCTGCAAATGGAGATTTGGACTGCTTTGAGGCCTACGGTAGTATAGGAAGGAACTTCATATAAAAGGCAAACGGAAGCATTCTCAGAATATTCTTTGTGATGATGGAGTTTCACTCACAGAGCTGAACATGCCTTTTGAGATGGGAGCAGTTTCCAAATACACTTTTGGTAGAATCTGCAGGTGGATATTTGGAGCTCTCTGAGGATTTCGTTGGAAACGGGAATAATTTCCCATAACTAAACACAAACACTCTGAGAAAGTTCTTCATGATGAATGCATTTAACTCGCAGAGATGAACCTGCCTTTGAGAGTTCAGGTTCGAAACACTCTTTCTGTAGAATCTGCAAGTGGATATTTGGACCACTGGCTGGCCTTCGTTCGAAACGGGTATATGTTCACGTAAAAACTAAAGAGAAGCATTCTCAGAAACTTCTGAGTGATGATTGCATTCAAGTCACACGGTTGAACCCTCCTTTTGATGGAGCAGTTTTGAAACTGTCTTTTTGTAGAATCTGTAAGTGGATACGTGGACCTCTTTGAAGATTTCTTTGGAAACGGGAATATTTCCACAGAAAAACTAAACTGAAGCATTCTCAGAAACTGCTTTGTGATGTTTGTGTTCGAGCCACAGAGTTTAACATTGCTTTTCATAGAGCAGTTTTGAAATATTCTTTTCGCAGAATCTGCAAGTGGACATTTGGAGCGCTTTCAGGCCTGTGGTGGCAAAGGCCTGAAAGCCTTTTCCTTTATCTTCACAGAAAGACGAGAGAGAAGCATTGTCAGAAACTTCTTTGTGATGATTGCATTCAACTCACAGAGTTGAAGATTCCTTTTGAAACAGCTGTTTCGAAACACTCTTTCTGTGGGATCCGCAAGGGGATATTTGGACCTCTTTGAAGGTTTCGTTGGAAACGGGATAATCTTCACCTAAAAGCTAAACGGAAGCATTCTCAGAAACTTCTTTGGGATGTTTGCATTCACCTCACAGAGTTGAACTTTCCCTTTGATAGCGCAGCTTTGACACACTTTTTCTACAATGTGCAAGTGGCTATTTAGCGGGCTTGGAGGACTGTGTTGGAAAAGGAAATATCTTCTAAAAACGACATAGAAGCATTCTCAGAAACTGCTCTGTGATGATTGCATTCAACTCCCAGAGTTGAACATTCCTTTTGATAGAGCAGTTTGCAAACACTCTTTTTGTAGAATCTGCAAGTGGAGATTTGGACCGCTTTGAGGCCTGTGGTAGTGAAGGAAAGAACTTCATATAAAAACCAGACGGTAGCACTCTCAGAAAATTCTTTGTGACGATGGAGTTTAACTCAGGGAGCTGAACATTCGTTATGATGGAGCAGTTTCCAAACACACGTTTTGTAGAATCTGCGAGGGGATATTTGGACCTCTCTGAGGATTTCGTTGGAAACGGGATCAACTTCCCATAACTGAACGGAAGCAAACTCAGAACATTCTTTGTGATGTTTGTATTCAACTCACAGAGTTGAACCTTCCTTTGATAGTTCAGGTTTGCAACACCCTTGTAGTAGAATCTGCAAGTGTATATTTTGACCACTTTGTAGCCTTCGTTTGAAACGTCTATATCTTCACATCAAACCTAGACAGAAGCATTCTCAGAAAGTTTTCTGCGATGACTGCATTCAACTCACAGAGTTGAACAATCCTCTGATGGAGCAGTTTTGAAACCCTCTTTCTTTGGAATCTGCAAGGGGATATGTGGACCTCTTTGAAGAATTCACTGGAAACGGGATCATCTTCACATAAAAACTAAACAGAAGCATTCTCGGAAACTATTTTGTGATGTTTGTATTCAACTCCCAGAGTTGAACTTTCCTTTTGAAAGAGCAGCTATGAAACACTCTTTTTCGAGAATCTGCAAGTGGACGTTTGGAGGGCTTTGAGGCCTGTGGTGGAAAAGGAAATATCTTCACACAAAAACCAGATAGAAGCATTCTCAGAAACTACTTTGTGAGGATGGCATTCAACTCATGGAGTTGAACAATCCTATTGATAGAGCAGATTGGAATCACTCTTTTTATAGAATCTGCAAATGGAGATTTGGACTGCTTTGAGGCCTACGGTAGTACAGGAAGGAACTTCATATAAAAGGCAAACGGAAGCATTCTCAGAATATTCTTTGTGATGATGGAGTTTCACTCACAGAGCTGAACATGCCTTTTGATGGAGCAGTTTCCAAATACACTTTTGGTAGAATCTGCAGGTGGATATTTGGAGCTCTCTGAGGATTTCGTTGGAAACGGGAATAATTTCCCATAACTAAACACAAACACTCTGAAGAAAGTTCTTCATGATGAATGCATTTAACTCGCAGAGATGAACCTGCCTTTGAGAGTTCAGGTTCGAAACACTCTTTCTGTAGAATCTGCAAGTGGATATTTGGACCACTGGGTGGCCTTCGTTCGAAACGGGTATATGTTCACGTAAAAACTAAAGAGAAGCATTCTCAGAAACTTCTGAGTGATGATTGCATTCAAGTCACACAGTTGAACCCTCCTTTTGATGGAGCAGTTTTGAAACTGTCTTTTTGTAGAATCTGTAAGTGGATACGTGGACCTCTTTGAAGATTTCTTTGGAAACGGGAATATTTCCACAGAAAAACTAAACTGAAGCATTCTCAGAAACTGCTTTGTGATGTTTGTGTTCGAGCCACAGAGTTTAACATTGCTTTTCATAGAGCAGTTTTGAAATATTCTTTTCGCAGAATCTGCAAGTGGACATTTGGAGCGCTTTCAGGCCTGTGGTGGCAAAGGCCTGAAAGCCTTTTCCTTTATCTTCACAGAAAGACGAGAGAGAAGCATTGTCAGAAACTTCTTTGTGATGATTGCATTCAACTCACAGAGTTGAAGATTCCTTTTGAAACAGCAGTTTCGAAACACTCTTTCTGTGGGATCCGCAAGGGGATATTTGGACCTCTTTGAAGGTTTCGTTGGAAACGGGATAATCTTCACCTAAAAGCTAAACGGAAGCGTTCTCAGAAACTTCTTTGGGATGTTTGCATTCACCTCACAGAGTTGAACTTTCCCTTTGATAGCGCAGCTTTGACACACTTTTTCTACAATGTGCAAGTGGCTATTTAGCGGGCTTGGAGGACTGTGTTGGAAAAGGAAATATCTTCTCCTAAAAACGACATAGAAGCATTCTCAGAAACTGCTCTGTGATGATTGCATTCAACTCCCAGAGTTGAACATTCCTTTTGATAGAGCAGTTTGCAAACACTCTTTTTGTAGAATCTGCAAGTGGAGATTTGGACCGCTTTGAGGCCTGTGGTAGTGAAGGAAAGAACTTCATATAAAAACCAGACGGTAGCACTCTCAGAAAATTCTTTGTGACGATGGAGTTTAACTCAGGGAGCTGAACATTCGTTATGATGGAGCAGTTTCCAAACACACGTTTTGTAGAATCTGCAAGGGGATATTTGGACCTCTCTGAGGATTTCGTTGGAAACGGGATCAACTTCCCATAACTGAACGGAAGCAAACTCAGAACATTCTTTGTGATGTTTGTATTCAACTCACAGAGTTGAACCTTCCTTTGATAGTTCAGGTTTGCAACACCCTTGTAGTAGAATCTGCAAGTGTATATTTTGACCACTTTGTAGCCTTCGTTTGAAACGTCTATATCTTCACATCAAACCTAGACAGAAGCATTCTCAGAAAGTTTTCTGCGATGACTGCATTCCACTCACAGAGTTGAACAATCCTTCTGATGGAGCAGTTTTGAAACCCTCTTTCTTTGGAATCTGCAAGGGGATATGTGGACCTCTTTGAAGATTTCACTGGAAACGGGATCATCTTCACATAAAAACTAAACAGAAGCATTCTCGGAAACTACTTTGTGATGTTTGTATTCAACTCCCAGAGTTGAACTTTCCTTTTGAAAGAGCAGCTATGAAACACTCTTTTTCGAGAATCTGCAAGTGGACGTTTGGAGGGCTTTGAGGCCTGTGGTGGAAAAGGAAATATCTTCACATTAAAACTAGATAGAAGCATTCTCAGAAACGACTTTGTGAGGATGGCATTCAACTCATGGAGTTGAACAATCCTATTGATAGAGCAGATTGGAATCACTCTTTTTGTAGAATCTGCAAATGGAGATTTGGACTGCTTTGAGGCCTACGGTAGTATAGGAAGGAACTTCATATAAAAGGCAAACGGAAGCATTCTCAGAATATTCTTTGTGATGATGGAGTTTCACTCACAGAGCTGAACATTCCTGTTGATGGAGCAGTTTCCAAATACACTTTTGGTAGAATCTGCAGGTGGATATTTGGAGCTCTCTGAGGATTTCCTTGGAAACGGGAATAATTTCCCATAACTAAACACAAACACGCTGAGAAAGTTCTTCATGATGAATGCATTTAACTCGCAGAGATGAACCTGCCTTTGAGAGTTCAGGTTCGAAACACTCTTTCTGTGGAATCTTCAAGTGGATATTTGGACCACTGGCTGGCCTTCATTCCAAACGGGTATATGTTCACGTAAAAACTAAAGAGAAGCGTTCTCAGAAACTTCTGAGTGATGATTGCATTCAAGTCACACAGTTGAACCCTCCTTTTGATTGAGCAGTTTTGAAACTGTCTTTTTGTAGAATCTGTAAGTGGATGCGTGGACCTCTTTTGAAGATTTCTTTGGAAACGGGAATATTTCCACAGAAAAACTAAACTGAAGTATTCTCAGAAACTGCTTTGTGATGTTTGTGTTCGAGCCACAGAGTTTAACATTGCTTTTCATAGAGCAGTTTTGTAATATTCTTTTCGCAGAATCTGCAAGCGGATATTTGGAGCGCTTTCAGGCCTGTGGTGGAAAAGGCCTGAAAGCCTTTTCCTTTATCTTCACAGAAAGACGAGAGAGAAGCATTGTCAGAAACTTCTTTGTGATGATTGCATTCAACTCACAGAGTTGAAGATTCCTTTTGAAACAGCAGTTTCGAAACACTCTTTCTGTGGGATCCGCAAGGGGATATTTGGACCTCTTTGAAGATTTCGTTGGAAACGGGATAATCTTCACCTAAAACCTAAGCGGAAGCATTCTCAGAAACTTCTTTGGGATGTTTGCATTCACCTCACAGAGTTGAACTTTCCCTTTGATAGCGCAGCTTCGACACACTTTTTCTACAATGTGCAAGTGGATATTTAGCGGGCTTGGAGGACTGTGGTGGAAAAGGAAATATCTTCTCCTAAAAACCACATAGAAGCATTCTCAGAAACTGCTCTGTGATGATTGCATTCAACTCCCAGAGTTGAACATTCCTTTTGATAGAGCAGTTTGCAAACACTCTTTTTGTAGAATCTGCAAGTGGAGATTTGGACCGCTTTGAGGCCTGTGGTAGTAAAGGAAAGAACTTCATATAAAAACTAGACGGTAGCACTCTCAGAAAAAACTTTGTGACGATGGAGTTTAACTCAGAGAGCTGAACATTCGTTATGATGGAGCAGTTCCCAAACACACGTTTTGCAGAATCTGCAAGGGGATATTTGGACCTCTCTGAGGATTTCGTTGGAAACGGGATCAACTTCCCATAACTGAACGGAAGCAAACTCAGAACATTCTTTGTGATGTTTGTATTCAACTCACAGAGTTGAACCTTCCTTTGATAGTTCAGGTTTGCAACACCCTTGTAGTAGAATCTGCAAGTGTATATTTTGACCACTTTGTAGCCTTCGTTTGAAACGTCTATATCTTCACATCAAACCTAGACAGAAGCATTCTCAGAAAGTTTTCTGCGATGACTGCATACAACTCATAGAGTTGAGTAATCCTTTTGATGGAGCAGTTTTGAAACCCTCTTTCTTTGGAATCTGCAAGGGGATATGTGGACCTCTTTCAAGATTTCACTGGAAACGGGATCATCTTCACATAAGAACTAAACAGAAGCATTCTCGGAAACTACTTTGTGATGTTTGTATTCAACTCCCAGAGTTGAACTTTCCTTTTGAAAGAGCAGCTATGAAACACTCTTTTTCGAGAATCTGCAAGTGGACGTTTGGAGGGCTTTGAGGCCTGTGGTGGAAAAGGAAATATCTTCACATAAAAACTAGATAGAAGCATTCTCAGAAACGACTTTGTGAGGATGGCATTCAACTCATGGAGTTGAACAATCCTATTGATAGAGCAGATTGGAATCACTCTTTTTGTAGAATCTGCAAAGGGAGATTTGGACTGCTTTGAGGCCTACGGTAGTATAGGAAGGAACTTCATATAAAAGGCAAACGGACGCATTCTCAGAATATTCTTTGTGATGATGGAGTTTCACTCACAGAGCTGAACATGCCTTTTGATGGAGCAGTTTCCAAATACACTTTTGGTAGAATCTGCAGGTGGATATTTGGACCTGTCGGAGGATTTCGTTGGAAACGGGAATAATTTCCCATAACTAAACACAAACACTCTGAGAAAGTTCTTCATGATGAATGCATTTAACTCGCAGAGATGAACCTGCCTTTGAGAGTTCAGGTTCGAAACACTCTTTCTGTAGAATCTGCAAGTGGATATTTGGACCACTGGCTGGCCTTCGTTCGAAACGGGTATATGTTCACGTAAAAACTAAAGAGAAGCATTCTCAGAAACTTCTGAGTGATGATTGCATTCAAGTCACACAGTTGAACCCGCCTTTTGATTGAGCAGTTTTGAAACTGTCTTTTTGTAGAATCTGTAAGTGGATTCGTGGACCTCTTGGAAGATTTCTTTGGAAACGGGAATATTTCCACAGAAAAACTAAACTGAAGCATTCTCAGAAACTGCTTTGTGATGTTGGTGTTCGAGCCGCAGAGTTTAACATTGCTTTTCATAGAGCAGTTTTGAAATATTCTTTTGGCAGAATCTGCAAGTGGACATTTGGAGCGCTTTCAGGCCTGTGGTGGAAAAGGCCTGAAAGCCTTTTCCTTTATCTTCACAGAAAGACGAGAGAGAAGCATTGTCAGAAACTTCTTTGTGATGATTGCATTCAACTCACAGAGTTGAAGATTCCTTTTGAAACAGCAGTTTCGAAACACTCTTTCTGTGGGATCCGCAAGGGGATATTTGGACCTCTTTGAAGGTTTCGTTGGAAACGGGATAATCTTCACCTAAAAGCTAAATGGAAGCATTCTCAGAAACTTCTTTGGGATGTTTGCATTCACCTCACAGAGTTGAACTTTCCCTTTGATAGCGCAGCTTCGACACACTTTTTCTACAATGTGCAAGTGGCTATTTAGCGGGCTTGGAGGACTGTGTTGGAAAAGGAAATATCTTCTCCTAAAAACGACATAGAAGCATTCTCAGAAACTGCTCTGTGATGATTGCATTCAACTCCCAGAGTTGAACATTCCTTTTGATAGAGCAGTTTGCAAACACTCTTTTTGTAGAATCTGCAAGTGGAGATTTGGACCGCTTTGAGGCCTGTGGTAGTAAAGGAAAGAACTTCATATAAAAACTAGACGGTAGCACTCTCAGAAAATTCTTTGTGACGATGGAGTTTAACTCAGAGAGCTGAACATTCGTTATGATGGAGCAGTTTCCAAACACACGTTTTGTAGAATCTGCAAGGGGATATTCGGACCTCTCTGAGGATTTCGTTGGAAACGGGATCAACGTCCCATAACTGAACGGAAGCAAACTCAGAACATTCTTTGTGATGTTTGTATTCAACTCACAGAGTTGAACCTTCCTTTGATAGTTCAGGTTTGCAACACCCTTGTAGTAGAATCTGCAAGTGTATATTTTGACCACTTTGTAGCCTTCGTTTGAAACGTCTATATCTTCACATCAAACCTAGACAGAAGCATTCTCAGAAAGTTTTCTGCGATGACTGCATTCAACTCACAGAGTTGAACAATCCTTTTGCTGGAGCAGTTTTGAAACCCTCTTTCTTTGGAATCTGCAAGGGCATATGTGGACCTCTTTGAAGATTTCACTGGAAACGGGATCATCTTCACATAAAAACTAAACAGAAGCATTCTCGGAAACTACTTTGTGATGTTTGTATTCAACTCCCAGAGTTGAACTTTCCTTTTGAAAGAGCAGCTATGAAACACTCTTTTTCGAGAATCTGCAAGTGGACGTTTGGAGGGCTTTGAGGCCTGTGGTGGAAAAGGAAATATCTTCACATAAAAACTAGATAGAAGCATTCTCAGAAACTACTTTGTGACGATGGCATTCAACTCATGGAGTTGAACAATCCTATTGATAGAGCAGATTGGAATCACTCTTTTTGTAGAATCTGCAAATGGAGATTTGGACTGCTTTGAGGCCTACGGTAGTATGGGAAGGAACTTCATATAAAAGGCAAACGGAAGCATTCTGAGAATATTCTTTGTGATGATGGAGTTTCACTCACAGAGCTGAACATGCCTTTTGATGGAGCAGTTTCCAAATACACTTTTGGTAGAATCTGCAGGTGGATATTTGGACCTCTCTGAGGATTTCGTTGGAAACGGGAATAATTTCCCATAACTAAACACAAACACTCTGAGAAAGTTCTTCATGATGAATGCATTGAACTCGCAGAGATGAACCTGCCTTTGAGAGTTCAGGTTCGAAACACTCTTTCTGTAGAATCTGCAAGTGGATATTTGGACCACTGGCTGGCCTTCGTTCGAAACGGGTATATGTTCACGTAAAAACTAAAGAGAAGCATTCTCAGAAACTTCTGAGTGATGATTGCATTCAAGTCACACGGTTGAACCCTCCTTTTGATTGAGCAGTTTTGAAACTGTCTTTTTGTAGAATCTGTAAGTGGATACGTGGACCTCTTTGAAGATTTCTTTGGAAACGGGAATATTTCCACAGAAAAACTAAACTGAAGCATTCTCAGAAACTGCTTTGTGATGTTTGTGTTCGAGCCGCAGAGTTTAACATTGCTTTTCATAGAGCAGTTTTGAAATATTCTTTTGGCAGAATCTGCAAGTGGACATTTGGAGCGCTTTCAGGCCTGTGGGTGGAAAAGGCCTGAAAGCCTTTTCCTTTATCTTCACAGAAAGACGAGAGAGAAGCATTGTCAGAAACTTCTTTGTGATGATTGCATTCAACTCACAGAGTTGAAGATTCCTTTTGAAACAGCAGTTTCGAAACACTCTTTCTGTGGGATCCGCAGGGGGATATTTGGACCTCTTTGAAGATTTCGTTGGAAACGGGATAATCTTCACCTAAAAGCTAAACGGAAGCATTCTCAGAAACTTCTTTGGGATGTTTGCATTCACCTCACAGAGTTGAACTTTCCCTTTGATAGCGCAGCTTCGACACACTTTTTCTACAATGTGCAAGTGGATATTTAGCGGGCTTGGAGGACTGTGTTGGAAAAGGAAATATCTTCTCCTAAAAACGACATAGAAGCATTCTCAGAAACTGCTCTGTGATGATTGCTTTCAACTCCCAGAGTTGAACATTCCTTTTGATAGAGCAGTTTGCAAACACTCTTTTTGTAGAATCTGCAAGTGGAGATTTGGACCGCTTTGAGGCCTGTGGTAGTAAAGGAAACAACTTCATATAAAAACCAGAGGGTAGCACTCTCAGAAAATTCTTTGTGACGATGGAGTTTAACTCAGAGAGCTGAACATTCGTTATGATGGAGCAGTTTCCAAACACACGTTTTGTAGAATCTGCAAGGGGATATTTGGACCTCTCTGAGGATTTCGTTGGAAACGGGATCAACTTCCCATAACTGAACGGAAGCAAACTCAGAACATTCTTTGTGATGTTTGTATTCAACTCACAGAGTTGAACCTTCCTTTTATAGTTGAGGTTTGCATCACCCTTGTAGTAGAATCTGCAAGTGTATATTTTGACCACTTTGTAGCCTTCGTTTGAAACGTCTATATCTTCACATCAAACCTAGACAGAAGCATTCTCAGAAAGTTTTCTGCGATGACTGCATTCAACTCACAGAGTTGAACAATCCTTTTGATGGAGCAGTTTTGAAACCCTCTTTCTTTGGAATCTGCAAGGGGATATGTGGGACCTCTTTGAAGATTTCACTGGAAACGGGATCATCTTCACATAAAAACTAAACAGAAGCATTCTCGGAAACTACTTTGTGATGTTTGTATTCAACTCCCAGAGTTGAACTTTCCTTTTGAAAGAGCAGCTATGAAACACTCTTTTTCGAGAATCTGCAAGTGGACGTTTGGAGGGCTTTGAGGCCTGTGGTGGAAAAGGAAATATCTTCACATAAAAACTAGATAGAAGCATTCTCAGAAACTACTTTGTGAGGATGGCATTCAACTCATGGAGTTGAACAATCCTATTGATAGAGCAGATTGGAATCACTCTTTTTGTAGAATCTGCAAATGGAGATTTGGACTGCTTTGAGGCCTACGGTCGTATAGGAAGGAACTTCATATAAAAGGCAAACGGAAGCATTCTCAGAATATTCTTTGTGATGATGGAGTTTCACTCACAGAGCTGAACATGCCTTTTGATGGAGCAGTTTCCAAATACACTTTTGGTAGAATCTGCAGGTGGATATTTGGAGCTCTCTGAGGATTTCGTTGGAAACGGGAATAATTTCCCATAACTAAACACAAACACTCTGAGAAAGTTCTTCATGATGAATGCATTTAACTCGCAGAGATGAACCTGCCTTTGAGAGTTCAGGTTCGAAACACTCTTTCTGTAGAATCTGCAAGTGGATATTTGGACCACTGGCTGGCCTTCGTTCGAAACGGGTATATGTTCACTTAAAAACTAAAGAGAAGCATTCTCAGAAACTTGTGAGTGATGATTGCATTCAAGTCACACAGTTGAACCCTCCTTTTGATGGAGCAGTTTTGAAACTGTCTTTTTGTAGAATCTGTAAGTGGATACGTGGACCTCTTTGAAGATTTCTTTGGAAACGGGAATATTTCCACAGAAAAACTAAACTGAAGCATTCTCAGAAACCGCTTTGTGATGTTTGTGTTCGAACCACAGAGTTTAACATTGCTTTTCATAGAGCAGTTTTGAAATATTCTTTTGGCAGAATCTGCAAGTGGACATTTGGAGCGCTTTCAGGCCTGTGGTGGAAAAGGCCTGAAAGCCTTTTCCTTTATCTTCACAGAAAGACGAGAGAGAAGCATTGTCAGAAACTTCTTTGTGATGATTGCATTCAACTCACAGAGTTGAAGATTCCTTTTGAAACAGCAGTTTCGAAACACTCTTTCTGTGGGATCCGCAAGGGGATATTTGGACCTCTTTGAAGGTTTCGTTGGAAACGGGATAATCTTCACCTAAAAGCTAAACGGAAGCATTCTCAGAAACTTCTTTGGGATGTTTGCATTCACCTCACAGAGTTGAACTTTCCCTTTGATAGCGCAGCTTTGACACACTTTTTCTACAATGTGCAAGTGGCTATTTAGCGGGCTTGGAGGACTGTGTTGGAAAAGGAAATATCTTCTCCTAAAAACGACATAGAAGCATTCTCAGAAACTGCTCTGTGATGATTGCATTCAACTCCCAGAGTTGAACATTCCTTTTGATAGAGCAGTTTGCAAACACTCTTTTTGTAGAATCTGCAAGTGGAGATTTGGACCGCTTTCAGGCCTGTGGTAGTGAAGGAAAGAGCTTCATATAAAAACCAGACGGTAGCACTCTCAGAAAATTCTTTGTGACGATGGAGTTTAACTCAGGGAGCTGAACATTCGTTATGATGGAGCAGTTTCCAAACACACGTTTTGTAGAATCTGCAAGGGGATATTTGGACCTCTCTGAGGATTTCGTTGGAAACGGGATCAACTTCCCATAACTGAACGGAAGCAAACTCAGAACATTCTTTGTGATGTTTGTATTCAACTCACAGAGTTGAACCTTCCTTTGATAGTTCAGGTTTGCAACACCCTTGTAGTAGAATCTGCAAGTGTATATTTTGACCACTTTGTAGCCTTCGTTTGAAACGTCTATATCTTCACATCAAACCTAGACAGAAGCATTCTCAGAAAGTTTTCTGCGATGACTGCATTCAACTCACAGAGTTGAACAATCCTTCTGATGGAGCAGTTTTGAAACCCTCTTTCTTTGGAATCTGCAAGGGGATATGTGGACCTCTTTGAAGATTTCACTGGAAACGGGATCATCTTCACATAAAAACTAAACAGAAGCATTCTCGGAAACTACTTTGTGATGTTTGTATTCAACTCCCAGAGTTGAACTTTCCTTTTGAAAGAGCAGCTATAAAACACTCTTTTTCGAGAATCTGCAAGTGGACGTTTGGAGGGCTTTGAGGCCTGTGGTGGAAAAGGAAATATCTTCACATAAAAACTAGATAGAAGCATTCTCAGAAACGACTTTGTGAGGATGGCATTCAACTCATGGAGTTGAACAATCCTATTGATAGAGCAGATTGGAATCACTCTTTTTGTAGAATCTGCAAATGGAGATTTGGACTGCTTTGAGGCCTACGGTCGTATAGGAAGGAACTTCAGATAAAAGGCAAACGGAAGCATTCTCAGAATATTCTTTGTGATGATGGAGTTTCACTCACAGAGCTGAACATGCCTTTTGATGGAGCAGTTTCCAAATACACTTTTGGTAGAATCTGCAGGTGGATATTTGGACCACTCTGAGGATTTCGTTGGAAACGGGAATAATTTCCCATAACTAAACACAAAAACGCTGAGAAAGTTCTTCATGATGAATGCATTTAACTCGCAGAGATGAACCTGCCTTTGAGAGTTCAGGTTCGAAACACTCTTTCTGTATAATCTGCAAGTGGATATTTGGACCACTGGGTGGCCTTCGTTCGAAACGGGTATATGTTCACGTAAAAACTAAAGAGAAGCATTCTCAGAAACTTCTGAGTGATGATTGCATTGAAGTCACACAGTTGAACCCTCCTTTTGATGGAGCAGTTTTGAAACTGTCTTTTTGTAGAATCTGTAAGTGGATACGTGGACCTCTTTGAAGATTTCTTTGGAAACGGGAATATTTCCACAGAAAAACTAAACTGAAGCATTCTCAGAAACCGCTTTGTGATGTTTGTGTTCGAGCCGCAGAGTTTAACATTGCTTTTCATAGAGCAGTTTTGAAATATTCTTTTGGCAGAATCTGCAAGTGGACATTTGGACCGCTTTCAGGCCTGTGGTGGCAAAGGCCTGAAAGCCTTTTCCTTTATCTTCACAGAAAGACGAGAGAGAAGCATTGTCAGAAACTTCTTTGTGATGATTGCATTCAACTCACAGAGTTGAAGATTCCTTTTGAAACAGCAGTTTCGAAACACTCTTTCTGTGGGATCCGCAAGGGGATATTTGGACCTCTTTGAAGGTTTGGTTGGAAACGGGATAATCTTCACCTAAAAGCTAAACGGAAGCATTCTCAGAAACTTCTTTGGGATGTTTGCATTCACCTCACAGAGTTGAACTTTCCCTTTGATAGCGCAGCTTTGACACACTTTTTCTACAATGTGCAAGTGGCTATTTAGCGGGCTTGGAGGACTGTGTTGGAAAAGGAAATATCTTCTCCTAAAAACGACATAGAAGCATTCTCAGAAACTGCTCTGTGATGATTGCATTCAACTCCCAGAGTTGAACATTCCTTTTGATAGAGCAGTTTGCAAACACTCTTTTTGTAGAATCTGCAAGTGGAGATTTGGACCGCTTTGAGGCCTGTGGTAGTGAAGGAAAGAACTTCATATAAAAACCAGACGGTAGCACTCTCAGAAAATTCTTTGTGACGATGGAGTTTAACTCAGGGAGCTGAACATTCGTTATGATGGAGCAGTTTCCAAACACATGTTTTGTAGAATCTGCGAGGGGATATTTGGACCTCTCTGAGGATTTCGTTGGAAACGGGATCAACTTCCCATAACTGAACGGAAGCAAACTCAGAACATTCTTTGTGATGTTTGTATTCAACTCACAGAGTTGAACCTTCCTTTGATAGTTCAGGTTTGCAACACCCTTGTAGTAGAATCTGCAAGTGTATATTTTGACCACTTTGTAGCCTTCGTTTGAAACGTCTATATCTTCACATCAAACCTAGACAGAAGCATTCTCAGAAAGTTTTCTGCGATGACTGCATTCAACTCACAGAGTTGAACAATCCTTCTGATGGAGCAGTTTTGAAACCCTCTTTCTTTGGAATCTGCAAGGGGATATGTGGACCTCTTTGAAGATTTCACTGGAAACGGGATCATCTTCACATAAAAACTAAACAGAAGCATTCTCGGAAACTACTTTGTGATGTTTGTATTCAACTCCCAGAGTTGAACTTTCCTTTTGAAAGAGCAGCTATGAAACACTCTTTTTCGAGAATCTACAAGTGGACGTTTGGAGGGCTTTGAGGCCTGTGGTGGAAAAGGAAATATCTTCACATAAAAACTAGATAGAAGCATTCTCAGAAACGACTTTGTGAGGATGGCATTCAACTCATGGAGTTGAACAATCCTATTGATAGAGCAGATTGGAATCACTCTTTTTGTAGAATCTGCAAATGGAGATTTGCACTGCTTTGAGGCCTACGGTCGTATAGGAAGGAACTTCATATAAAAGGCAAACGGAAGCATTCTCAGAATATTCTTTGTGATGATGGAGTTTCACTCACAGAGCTGAACATGCCTGTTGATGGAGCAGTTTCCAAATACACTTTTGGTAGAATCTGCAGGTGGACATTTGGACCTCTCTGAGGATTTCGTTGGGAACGGGAATAATTTCCCATAACTAAACACAAACACGCTGAGAAAGTTCTTCATGATGAATGCATTTAACTCGCAGAGATGAACCTGCCTTTGAGAGTTCAGGTTCGAAACACTCTTTCTGTAGAATCTGCAAGTGGACATTTGGACCACTGGGTGGCCTTCGTTCGAAACGGGTATATGTTCACGTAAAAACTAAAGAGAAGCATTCTCAGAAACTTCTGAGTGATGATTGCATTCAAGTCACAGAGTTGAACCCTCCTTTTGATTGAGCAGTTTTGAAACTGTCTTTTTGTAGAATCTGTAAGTGGATACGTGGACCTCTTTGAAGATTTCTTTGGAAACGGGAATATTTCCACAGAAAAACTAAACTGAAGCATTCTCAGAGACCGCTTTGTGATGTTTGTGTTCGAGCCACAGAGTTTAACATTGCTTTTCATAGAGCAGTTTTGAAATATTCTTTTGGCAGAATCTGCAAGTGGACATTTGGAGCGCTTTCAGGCCTGTGGTGGCAAAGGCCTGAACGCCTTTTCCTTTATGTTCACAGAAAGACGAGAGAGAAGCATTGTCAGAAACTTCTTTGTGATGATTGCATTCAACTCACAGAGTTGAAGATTCCTTTTGAAACAGCAGTTTCGAAACACTCTTTCTGTGGGATCCGCAAGGGGATATTTGGACCTCTTTGAAGGTTTCGTTGGAAACGGGATAATCTTCACCTAAAAGCTAAACGGAAGCATTCTCAGAAACTTCTTTGGGATGTTTGCATTCACCTCACAGAGTTGAACTTTCCCTTTGATAGCGCAGCTTTGACACACTTTTTCTACAATGTGCAAGTGGCTATTTAGCGGGCTTGGAGGACTGTGTTGGAAAAGGAAATATCTTCTCCTAAAAACGACATAGAAGCATTCTCAGAAACTGCTCTGTGATGATTGCATTCAACTCCCAGAGTTGAACATTCCTTTTGATAGAGCAGTTTGCAAACACTCTTTTTGTAGAATCTGCAAGTGGAGATTTGGACCGCTTTGAGGCCTGTGGTAGTGAAGGAAAGAACTTCATATAAAAACCAGACGGTAGCACTCTCAGAAAATTCTTTGTGACGATGGAGTTTAACTCAGGGAGCTGAACATTCGTTATGATGGAGCAGTTTCCAAACACACGTTTTGTAGAATCTGCGAGGGGATATTTGGACCTCTCTGAGGATTTCGTTGGAAACGGGATCAACTTCCCATAACTGAACGGAAGCAAACTCAGAACATTCTTTGTGATGTTTGTATTCAACTCACAGAGTTGAACCTTCCTTTGATAGTTCAGGTTTGCAACACCCTTGTAGTAGAATCTGCAAGTGTATATTTTGACCACTTTGTAGCCTTCGTTTGAAACGTCTATATCTTCACATCAAACCTAGACAGAAGCATTCTCAGAAAGTTTTCTGCGATGACTGCATTGAACTCACAGAGTTGAACAATCCTTCTGATGGAGCAGTTTTTAAACCCTCTTTCTTTGGAATCTGCAATGGGATATGTGGACCTCTTTGAAGATTTCACTGGAAACGGGATCATCTTCACATAAAAACTAAACAGAAGCATTCTCGGAAACTATTTTGTGATGTTTGTATTCAACTCCCAGAGTTGAACTTTCCTTTTGAAAGAGCAGCTATGAAACACTCTTTTTCGAGAATCTGCAAGTGGACGTTTGGAGGGCTTGGAGGCCTGTGCTGGAAAAGGAAATACCTTCACATAAAAACTAGATAGAAGCATTCTCAGAAACTACTTTGTGAGGATGGCATTCAACTCATGGAGTTGAACAATCCTATTGATAGAGCAGATTGGAATCACTCTTTTTGTAGAATCTGCAAATGGAGATTTGGACTGCTTTGAGGCCTACGGTCGTATAGGAAGGAACTTCATATAAAAGGCAAACGGAAGCATTCTCAGAATATTCTTTGTGATGATGGAGTTTCACTCACAGAGCTGAACATGCCTTTTGATGGAGCAGTTTCCAAATACACTTTTGGTAGAATCTGCAGGTGGATATTTGGACCTCTCTGAGGATTTCGTTGGAAACGGGAATAATTTCCCATAACTAAACACAAACACTCTGAGAAAGTTCTTCATGATGAATGCATTTAACTCGCAGAGATGAACCTGCCTTTGAGAGTTCAGGTTCGAAACACTCTTTCTGTATAATCTGCAAGTGGATATTTGGACCACTGGGTGGCCTTCGTTCGAAACGGGTATATGTTCACGTAAAAACTAAAGAGAAGCATTCTCAGAAACTTCTGAGTGATGATTGCATTCAAGTCACACAGTTGAACCCTCCTTTTGATGGAGCAGTTTTGAAACTGTCTTTTTGTAGAATCTGTAAGTGGATACGTGGACCTCTTTGAAGATTTCTTTGGAAACGGGAATATTTCCACAGAAAAACTAAACTGAAACATTCTCAGAAACCGCTTTGTGATGTTTGTGTTCCAGCCACAGAGTTTAACATTGCTTTTCATAGAGCAGTTTTGAAATATTCTTTTCGCAGAATCTGCAAGTGGACATTTGGAGCGCTTTCAGGCCTGTGGTGGCAAAGGCCTGAAAGCCTTTTCCTTTATCTTCACAGAAAGACGAGAGAGAAGCATTGTCAGAAACTTCTTTGTGATGATTGCATTCAACTCACAGAGTTGAAGATTCCTTTTGAAACAGCAGTTTCGAAACACTCTTTCTGTGGGATCCGCAAGGGGATATTTGGACCTCTTTGAAGGTTTCGTTGGAAACGGGATAATCTTCACCTAAAAGCTAAACGGAAGCATTCTCAGAAACTTCTTTGGGATGTTTGCATTCACCTCACAGAGTTGAACTTTCCCTTTGATAGCGCAGCTTCGACACACTTTTTCTACAATGTGCAAGTGGCTATTTAGCGGGCTTGGAGGACTGTGTTGGAAAAGGAAATATCTTCTCCTAAAAACGACATAGAAGCATTCTCAGAAACTGCTCTGTGATGATTGCATTCAACTCCCAGAGTTGAACATTCCTTTTGATAGAGCAGTTTGCAAACACTCTTTTTGTAGAATCTGCAAGTGGAGATTTGGACCGCTTTGAGGCCTGTGGTAGTGAAGGAAAGAGCTTCATATAAAAACCAGACGGTAGCACTCTCAGAAAATTCTTTGTGACGATGGAGTTTAACTCAGGGAGCTGAACATTCGTTATGATGGAGCAGTTTCCAAACACACGTTTTGTAGAATCTGCAAGGGGATATTTGGACCTCTCTGAGGATTTCGTTGGAAACGGGATCAACATCCCATAACTGAACAGAAGCAAACTCAGAACATTCTTTGTGATGTTTGTATTCAACTCACAGAGTTGAACCTTCCTTTGATAGTTCAGGTTTGCAACACCCTTGTAGTAGAATCTGCAAGTGTATATTTTGACCACTTTGTAGCCTTCGTTTGAAACGTCTATATCTTCACATCAAACCTAGACAGAAGCATTCTCAGAAAGTTTTCTGCGATGACTGCATTCAACTCACAGAGTTGAACAATCCTTCTGATGGAGCAGTTTTGAAACCCTCTTTCTTTGGAATCTGCAAGGGGATATGTGGACCTCTTTGAAGATTTCACTGGAAACGGGATCATCTTCACATAAAAACTAAACAGAAGCATTCTCGGAAACTACTTTGTGATGTTTGTATTCAACTCCCAGAGTTGAACTTTCCTTTTGAAAGAGCAGCTATGAAACACTCTTTTTCGAGAATCTGCAAGTGGACGTTTGGAGGGCTTTGAGGCCTGTGGTGGAAAAGGAAATATCTTCACATAAAAACTAGATAGAAGCATTCTCAGAAACTACTTTGGAAGATGGCATTCAACTCATGGAGTTGAACAATCCTATTGATAGAGCAGATTGGAATCACTCTTTTTGTAGAATCTGCAAATGGAGATTTGGACTGCTTTGAGGCCTACGGTCGTATAGGAAGGAACTTCATATAACAGGCAAACGGAAGCATTCTCAGAATATTCTTTGTGATGATGGAGTTTCACTCACAGAGCTGAACATGCCTTTTGATGGAGCAGTTTCCAAATACACTTTTGGTAGAATCTGCAGGTGGATATTTGGAGCTCTTTGAGGATTTCGTTGGAAACGGGAATAATTTCCCATAACTAAACACAAACACGCTGAGAAAGTTCTTCATGATGAATGCATTTAACTCGCAGAGATGAACCTGCCTTTGAGAGTTCAGGTTCGAAACACTCTTTCTGTAGAATCTGCAAGTGGATATTTGGACCACTGGGTGGCCTTCGTTCGAAACGGGTATATGTTCACGTAAAAACTAAAGAGAAGCATTCTCAGAAACTTCTGAGTGATGATTGCATTCAAGTCACACAGTTGAACCCTCCTTTTGATGGAGCAGTTTTGAAACTGTCTTTTTGTAGAATCTGTAAGTGGATACGTGGACCTCTTTGAAGATTTCTTTGGAAACGGGAATATTTCCACAGAAAAACTAAACTGAAGCATTCTCAGAAACCGCTTTGTGATGTTTGTGTTCGAGCCGCAGAGTTTAACATTGCTTTTCATAGAGCAGTTTTGAAATATTCTTTTGGCAGAATCTGCAAGTGGACATTTGGAGCGCTTTCAGGCTTGTGGTGGAAAAGGCCTGAAAGCCTTTTCCTTTATCTTCACAGAAAGACGAGAGAGAAGCATTGTCAGAAACTTCTTTGTGATGATTGCATTCAACTCACAGAGTTGAAGATTCCTTTTGAAACAGCAGTTTCGAAACACTCTTTCTGTGGGATCCGCAAGGGGATATTTGGACCTCTTTGAAGGTTTCGTTGGAAACGGGATAATCTTCACCTAAAAGCTAAACGGAAGCATTCTCAGAAACTTCTTTGGGATGTTTGCATTCACCTCACAGAGTTGAACTTTCCCTTTGATAGCGCAGCTTTGACACACTTTTTCTACAATGTGCAAGTGGCTATTTAGCGGGCTTGGAGGACTGTGTTGGAAAAGGAAATATCTTCTCCTAAAAACGACATAGAAGCATTCTCAGAAACTGCTCTGTGATGATTGCATTCAACTCCCAGAGTTGAACATTCCTTTTGATAGAGCAGTTTGCAAACACTCTTTTTGTAGAATCTGCAAGTGGAGATTTGGACCGCTTTGAGGCCTGTGGTAGTGAAGGAAAGAACTTCATATAAAAACCAGACGGTAGCACTCTCAGAAAATTCTTTGTGACGATGGAGTTTAACTCAGGGAGCTGAACATTCGTTATGATGGAGCAGTTTCCAAACACACGTTTTGTAGAATCTGCAAGGGGATATTTGGACCTCTCTGAGGATTTCGTTGGAAACGGGATCAACTTCCCATAACTGAACGGAAGCAAACTCAGAACATTCTTTGTGATGTTTGTATTCAACTCACAGAGTTGAACCTTCCTTTGATAGTTCAGGTTTGCAACACCCTTGTAGTAGAATCTGCAAGTGTATATTTTGACCACTTTGTAGCCTTCGTTTGAAACGTCTATATCTTCACATCAAACCTAGACAGAAGCATTCTCAGAAAGTTTTCTGCGATGACTGCATTCAACTCACAGAGTTGAACAATCCTTCTGATGGAGCAGTTTTGAAACCCTCTTTCTTTGGAATCTGCAAGGGGATATGTGGACCTCTTTGAAGATTTCACTGGAAACGGGATCATCTTCACATAAAAACTAAACAGAAGCATTCTCGGAAACTACTTTGTGATGTTTGTATTCAACTCCCAGAGTTGAACTTTCCTTTTGAAAGAGCAGCTATGAAACACTCTTTTTCGAGAATCTGCAAGTGGACGTTTGGAGGGCTTTGAGGCCTGTGGTGGAAAAGGAAATATCTTCACATAAAAACTAGATAGAAGCATTCTCAGAAACGACTTTGTGAGGATGGCATTCAACTCATGGAGTTGAACAATCCTATTGATAGAGCAGATTGGAATCACTCTTTTTGTAGAATCTGCAAATGGAGATTTGGACTGCTTTGAGGCCTACGGTAGTATAGGAAGGAACTTCATATAAAAGGCAAACGGACGCATTCTCAGAATATTCTTTGTGATGATGGAGTTTCACTCACAGAGCTGAACATGCCTTTTGATGGAGCAGTTTCCAAATACACTTTTGGTAGAATCTGCAGGTGGATATTTGGACCTGTCGGAGGATTTCGTTGGAAACGGGAATAATTTCCCATAACTAAACACAAACACTCTGAGAAAGTTCTTCATGATGAATGCATTTAACTCGCAGAGATGAACCTGCCTTTGAGAGTTCAGGTTCGAAACACTCTTTCTGTAGAATCTGCAAGTGGATATTTGGACCACTGGCTGGCCTTCGTTCGAAACGGGTATATGTTCACGTAAAAACTAAAGAGAAGCATTCTCAGAAACTTCTGAGTGATGATTGCATTCAAGTCACACAGTTGAACCCGCCTTTTGATTGAGCAGTTTTGAAACTGTCTTTTTGTAGAATCTGTAAGTGGATACGTGGACCTCTTGGAAGATTTCCTTGGAAACGGGAATATTTCCACAGAAAAACTAAACTGAAGCATTCTCAGAAACTGCTTTGTGATGTTGGTGTTCGAGCCACAGAGTTTAACATTGCTTTTCATAGAGCAGTTTTGAAATATTCTTTTGGCAGAATCTGCAAGTGGACATTTGGAGCGCTTTCAGGCCTGTGGTGGAAAAGGCCTGAAAGCCTTTTCCTTTATCTTCACAGAAAGACGAGAGAGAAGCATTGTCAGAAACTTCTTTGTGATGATTGCATTCAACTCACAGAGTTGAAGATTCCTTTTGAAACAGCAGTTTCGAAACACTCTTTCTGTGGGATCCGCAAGGGGATATTTGGACCTCTTTGAAGATTTCGTTGGAAACGGGATAATCTTCACCTGAAAGCTAAACGGAAGCATTCTCAGAAACTTCTTTGGGATGTTTGCATTCACCTCACAGAGTTGAACTTTCCCTTTGATAGCGCAGCTTCGACACACTTTTTCTACAATGCGCAAGTGGATATTTAGCGGGCTTGGAGGACTGTGTTGGAAAAGGAAATATCTTCTCCTAAAAACGACATAGAAGGATTCTCAGAAACTGCTCTGTGATGATTGCATTCAACTCCCAGAGTTGAACATTCCTTTTGATAGAGCAGTTTGCAAACACTCTTTTTGTAGAATCTGCAAGTGGAGATTTGGACCGCTTTGAGGCCTGTGGTAGTAAAGGAAAGAACTTCATATAAAAAGTAGATGGTAGCACTCTCAGAAAATTCTTTGTGACGATGGAGTTTAACTCAGAGAGCTGAACATTCGTTATGATGGAGCAGTTTCCAAACACACGTTTTGCAGAATCTGCAAGGGGATATTTGGACCTCTCTGAGGATTTCGTTGGAAACGGGATCAACTTCCCATAACTGAACGGAAGCAAACTCAGAACATTCTTTGTGATGTTTGTATTCAACTCACAGAGTTGAACCTTCCTTTGATAGTTCAGGTTTGCAACACCCTTGTAGTAGAATCTGCAAGTGTATATTTTGACCACTTTGTAGCCTTCGTTTGAAACGTCTATATCTTCACATCAAACCTAGACAGAAGCATTCTCAGAAAGTTTTCTGCGATGACTGCATTCAACTCACAGAGTTGAGCAATCCTTTTGATGGAGCAGTTTTGAAACCCTCTTTCTTTGGAATCTGCAAGGGGATATGTGGACCTCTTTCAAGATTTCACTGGAAACGGGATCATCTTCACTTAAGAACTAAACAGAAGCATTCTCGGAAACTACTTTGTGATGTTTGTATTCAACTCCCAGAGTTGAACTTTCCTTTTGAAAGAGCAGCTATGAAACACTCTTTTTCGAGAATCTGCAAGTGGACGTTTGGAGGGCTTTGAGGCCTGTGGTGGAAAAGGAAATATCTTCACATAAAAACTAGAATAGAAGCATTCTCAGAAACGACTTTGTGAGGATGGCATTCAACTCATGGAGTTGAACAATCCTATTGATAGAGCAGATTGGAATCACTCTTTTTGTAGAATCTGCAAATGGAGATTTGGACTGCTTTGAGGCCTCCGGTCGTATAGGAAGGAACTTCATATAAAAGGCAAACGGAAGCATTCTCAGAATATTCTTTGTGATGATGGAGTTTCACTCACAGAGCTGAACATGCCTTTTGATGGAGCAGTTTCCAAATACACTTTTGGTAGAATCTGCAGGTGGATATTTGGAGCTCTCTGAGGATTTCGTTGGAAACGGGAATAATTTCCCATAACTAAACACAAACACTCTGAGAAAGTTCTTCATGATGAATGCATTTAACTCGCAGAGATGAACCTGCCTTTGAGAGTTCAGGTTCGAAACACTCTTTCTGTAGAATCTGCAAGTGGATATTTGGACCACTGGCTGGCCTTCGTTCGAAACGGGTATATGTTCACGTAAAAACTAAAGAGAAGCATTCTCAGAAACTTCTGAGTGATGATTGCATTCAAGTCACACAGTTGAACCCTCCTTTTGATGGAGCAGTTTTGAAACTGTCTTTTTGTAGAATCTGTAAGTGGATACGTGGACCTCTTTGAAGATTTCTTTGGAAACGGGAATATTTCCACAGAAAAACTAAACTGAAGCATTCTCAGAAACCGCTTTGTGATGTTTGTGTTCGAGCCACAGAGTTTAACATTGCTTTTCATAGAGCAGTTTTGAAATATTCTTTTGGCAGAATCTGCAAGTGGACATTTGGAGCGCTTTCAGGCCTGTGGTGGAAAAGGCCTGAAAGCCTTTTCCTTTATCTTCACAGAAAGACGAGAGAGAAGCATTGTCAGAAACTTCTTTGTGATGATTGCATTCAACTCACAGAGTTGAAGATTCCTTTTGAAACAGCAGTTTCGAAACACTCTTTCTGTGGGATCCGCAAGGGGATATTTGGACCTCTTTGAAGGTTTCGTTGGAAACGGGATAATCTTCACCTAAAAGCTAAACGGAAGCATTCTCAGAAACTTCTTTGGGATGTTTGCATTCACCTCACAGAGTTGAACTTTCCCTTTGATAGCGCAGCTTTGACACACTTTTTCTACAATGTGCAAGTGGATATTTAGCGGGCTTGGAGGACTGTGTTGGAAAAGGAAATATCTTCTAAAAACGACATAGAAGCATTCTCAGAAACTGCTCTGTGATGATTGCATTCAACTCCCAGAGTTGAACATTCCTTTTGATAGAGCAGTTTGCAAACACTCTTTTTGTAGAATCTGCAAGTGGAGATTTGGACCGCTTTGAGGCCTGTGGTAGTGAAGGAAAGAGCTTCATATAAAAACCAGACGGTAGCACTCTCAGAAAATTCTTTGTGACGATGGAGTTTAACTCAGGGAGCTGAACATTCGTTATGATGGAGCAGTTTCCAAACACACGTTTTGTAGAATCTGCAAGGGGATATTTGGACCTCTCTGAGGATTTCGTTGGAAACGGGATCAACTTCCCATAACTGAACGGAAGCAAACTCAGAACATTCTTTGTGATGTTTGTATTCAACTCACAGAGTTGAACCTTCCTTTGATAGTTCAGGTTTGCAACACCCTTGTAGTAGAATCTGCAAGTGTATATTTTGACCACTTTGTAGCCTTCGTTTGAAACGTCTATATCTTCACATCAAACCTAGACAGAAGCATTCTCAGAAAGTTTTCTGCGATGACTGCATTCAACTCACAGAGTTGAACAATCCTTCTGATGGAGCAGTTTTGAAACCCTCTTTCTTTGGAATCTGCAAGGGGATATGTGGACCTCTTTGAAGATTTCACTGGAAACGGGATCATCTTCACATAAAAACTAAACAGAAGCATTCTCGGAAACTACTTTGTGATGTTTGTATTCAACTCCCAGAGTTGAACTTTCCTTTTGAAAGAGCAGCTATGAAACACTCTTTTTCGAGAATCTGCAAGTGGACGTTTGGAGGGCTTTGAGGCCTGTGGTGGAAAAGGAAATATCTTCACATAAAAACTAGATAGAAGCATTCTCAGAAACGACTTTGTGAGGATGGCATTCAACTCATGGAGTTGAACAATCCTATTGATAGAGCAGATTGGAATCACTCTTTTTGTAGAATCTGCAAATGGAGATTTGGACTGCTTGAGGCCTACGGTCGTATAGGAAGGAACTTCATATAAAAGGCAAACGGAAGCATTCTCAGAATATTCTTTGTGATGATGGAGTTTCACTCACAGAGCTGAACATGCCTTTTGATGGAGCAGTTTCCAAATACACTTTTGGTAGAATCTGCAGGTGGATATTTGGACCTCTCTGAGGATTTCGTTGGGAACGGCAATAATTTCCCATAACTAAACACAAACACGCTGAGAAAGTTCTTCATGTTGAATGCATTGAACTCGCAGAGATGAACCTGCCTTTGAGAGTTCAGGTTCGAAACACTCTTTCTGTAGAATCTGCAAGTGGATATTTGGACCACTGGGTGGCCTTCGTTCGAAACGGGTATATGTTCACGTAAAAACTAAAGAGAAGCATTCTCAGAAACTTCTGAGTGATGATTGCATTCAAGTCACACGGTTGAACGCTCCTTTTGATTGAGCAGTTTTGAAACTGTCTTTTTGTAGAATCTGTAAGTGGATGCGTGGACCTCTTTGAAGATTTCTTTGGAAACGGGAATATTTCCACAGAAAAACTAAACTGAAGCATTCTCAGAAACTGCTTTGTGATGTTTGCGTTCGAGCCACAGAGTTTAACATTGCTTCTCATAGAGCAGTTTTGAAATATTCTTTTGGCAGAATCTGCAAGTGGACATTTGGAGCGCTTTCAGGCCTGTGGTGGAAAAGGCCTGAAAGCCTTTTCCTTTATCTTCACAGAAAGACGAGAGAGAAGCATTGTCAGAAACTTCTTTGTGATGATTGCATTCAACTCACAGAGTTGAAGATTCCTTTTGAAACAGCAGTTTCGAAACACTCTTTCTGTGGGATCCGCAAGGGGATATTTGGACCTCTTTGAAGATTTCGTTGGAAACGGGATAATCTTCACCTAAAAGCTAAACGGAAGCATTCTCAGAAACTTCTTTGGGATGTTCGCATTCACCTCACAGAGTTGAACTTTCCCTTTGATAGCGCAGCTTCGACACACTTTTTCTAAAATGTGCAAGTGGATATTTAGCGGGCTTGCAGGACTGTGTTGGAAAAGGAAATATCTTCTCCTAAAAACCACATAGAAGCATTCTCAGAAACTGCTCTGTGATGATTGCATTCAACTCCCAGAGTTGAACATTCCTTTTGATAGAGCAGTTTGCAAACACTCTTTTTGTAGAATCTGCAAGTGGAGATTTGGACCGCTTTGAGGCCTGTGGTAGTAAAGGAAAGAACTTCATATAAAAACTAGACGGTAGCACTCTCAGAAAATTTTTTGTGACGATGGAGTTTAACTCAGAGAGCTGAACATTCGTTATGATGGAGCAGTTTCCAAACACACGTTTTGTAGAATCTGCAAGGGGATATTTGGACCTCTCTGAGGATTTCGTTGGAAACGGGATCAACTTCCCATAACTGAACGGAAGCAAACTCAGAACATTCTTTATGATGTTTGAATTCAACTCACAGAGTTGAACATTCCTTTGATAGGTCAGGTTTGCAACACCCTTGCAGTAGAATCTGCAAGTGTATATTTTGACCACTTTGTAGCCTTCGTTTGAAAGGTCTATATCTTCACATCAAACCTAGACAGAAGCATTCTCAGAAAATTTTCTGCGATGACTGCATTCAACTCACAGAGTTGAACAATCCTTTTGATGGAGCAGTTTTGAAACCCTCTTTCTTTGGAATCTGCAATGGGATATGTGGACCTCTTTGAAGATTTCACTGGAAACGGGATCATCTTCACATAAGAACTAAACAGAAGCATTCTCGGAAACTACTTTGTGATGTTTGTATTCAACTCCCAGAGTTGAACTTTCCTTTTGAAAGAGCAGCTATGAAACACTCTTTTTCGAGAATCTGCAAGTGGACGTTTGGAGGGCTTTGAGGCCTGTGGTGGAAAAGGAAATATCTTCACATAAAAACTAGATAGAAGCATTCTCAGAAACGACTTTGTGAGGATGGCATTCAACTCATGGAGTTGAACAATCCTATTGATAGAGCAGATTGGAATCACTCTTTTTGTAGAATCTGCAAAAGGAGATTTGGACTGCTTTGAGGCCTACGGTAGTATAGGAAGGAGCTTCATATAAAAGGCAAACGGAAGCATTCTCAGAATATTCTTTGTGATGATGGTGTTTCACTCACATAGCTGAACATGCCTTTTGATGGAGCAGTTTCCAAATACACTTTTGGTAGAATCTGCAGGTGGATATTTGAGCTCTCTGAGGATTTCGTTGGAAACGGGAATAATTTCCCATAACTAAACACAAACACGCTGAGAAAGTTCTTCATGATGAATGCATTGAACTCGCAGAGATGAACCTGCCTTTGAGAGTTCAGATTCGAAACACTCTTTCTGTAGAATCTGCAAGTGGATATTTGGACCACTGGCTGGCCTTCGTTCGAAACGGGTATATGTTCACGTAAAAACTAAAGAGAAGCGTTCTCAGAAACTTCTGAGTGATGATTGCATTCAAGTCACACAGTTGAACCCTCCTTTTGATTGACCAGTTTTGAAACTGTCTTTTTGTAGAATCTGTAAGTGGATACGTGGACCTCTTTGAAGATTTCTTTGGAAACGGGAATATTTCCACAGAAAAACTAAACTGAAGCATTCTCAGAAACTGCTTTGTGATGTTTGTGTTCGAGCCGCAGAGTTTAACATTGCTTTTCATAGAGCAGTTTTGAAATATTCTTTTGGCAGAATCTGCAAGTGGACATTTGGAGCGCTTTCAGGCCTGTGGTGGAAAAGGCCTGAAAGCCTTTTCCTTTATCTTCACAGAAAGACGAGAGAGAAGCATTGTCAGAAACTTCTTTGTGATGATTGCATTCAACTCACAGAGTTGAAGATTCCTTTTGAAACAGCAGTTTCGAAACACTCTTTCTGTGGGATCCGCAAGGGGATATTTGGAACTCTTTGAAGATTTCGTTGGAAACGGGATAATCTTCACCTAAAAGCTAAACGGAAGCATTCTCAGAAACTTCTTTGGGATGTTTGCATTCACCTCACAGAGTTGAACTTTCCCTTTGATAGCGCAGCTTCGACACACTTTTTCTACAATGTGCAAGTGGCTATTTAGCGGGCTTGGAGGACTGTGTTGGAAAAGGAAATATCTTCTCCTAAAAACGACATAGAAGCATTCTCAGAAACTGCTCTGTGATGATTGCATTCAACTCCCAGAGTTGAACATTCCTTTTGATAGAGCAGTTTGCAAACACTCTTTTTGTAGAATCTGCAAGTGGAGATTTGGACCGCTTTGAGGCCTGTGGTAGTGAAGGAAAGAACTTCATATAAAAACCAGACGGTAGCACTCTCAGAAAATTCTTTGTGACGATGGAGTTTAACTCAGAGCAGCTGAACATTCGTTATGATGGAGCAGTTTCCAAACACACGTTTTGTAGAATCTGCAAGGGGATATTTGGACCTCTCTGAGGATTTCGTTGGAAACGGGATCAACTTCCCATAACTGAACGGAAGCAAACTCAGAACATTCTTTGTGATGTTTGTATTCAACTCACAGAGTTGAACCTTCCTTTGATAGTTCAGGTTTGCAACACCCTTGTAGTAGAATCTGCAAGTGTATATTTTGACCACTTTGTAGCCTTCGTTTGAAACGTCTATATCTTCACATCAAACCTAGACAGAAGCATTCTCAGAAAGTTTTCTGCGATGACTGCATTCAACTCACAGAGTTGAACAATCCTTTTGATGGAGCAGTTTTGAAACCCTCTTTCTTTGGAATCTGCAAGGGGATATGTGGACCTCTTTGAAGATTTCACTGGAAACGGGATCATCTTCACATAAGAACTAAACAGAAGCATTCTCGGAAACTACTTTGTGATGTTTGTATTCAGCTCCCAGAGTTGAACTTTCCTTTTGAAAGAGCAGCTATGAAACACTCTTTTTCGAGAATCTGCAAGTGGACGTTTGGAGGGCTTTGAGGCCTGTGGTGGAAAAGGAAATATCTTCACATAAAAACTAGATGGAAACATTCTCAGAAACTACTTTGTGAGGATGGCATTCAACTCATGGAGTTGAACAGTCCTATTGATAGAGCAGATTGGAATCACTCTTTTTGAAGAATCTGCAAATGGAGATTTGGACTGCTTTGAGGCCTACGGTAGTATAGGAAGGAACTTCATATAAAAGGCAAATGGAAGCATTCTCAGAATATTCTTTGTGATGATGGAGTTTCACTCACAGAGCTGAACATGCCTTTTGATGGAGCAGTTTCCAAATACACTTTTGGTAGAATCTGCAGGTGGATATTTGGAGCTCTTTGAGGATTTCGTTGGAAAAGGGAATAATTTCCCATAACTAAACACAAACACGCTGAGAAAGTTCTTCATGATGAATGCATTTAACTTGCAGAGATGAACCTGCCTTTGAGAGTTCAGGTTCGAAACACTCTTTCTGTATAATCTGCAAGTGGATATTTGGACCAGTGGGTGGCCTTCGTTCGAAACGGGTATATGTTCACGTAAAAACTAAAGAGAAGCATTCTCAGAAACTTCTGAGTGATGATTGCATTCAAGTCACACAGTTGAACCCTCCTTTTGATGGAGCAGTTTTGAAACTGTCTTTTTGTAGAATCTGTAAGTGGATACGTGGACCTCTTTGAAGATTTCTTTGGAAACGGGAATATTTCCACAGAAAAACTAAACTGAAGCATTCTCAGAAACCGCTTTGTGATGTTTGTGTTCGAGCCACAGAGTTTAACATTGCTTTTCATAGAGCAGTTTTGAAATATTCTTTTGGCAGAATCTGCAAGTGGACATTTGGAGCGCTTTCAGGCCTGTGGTGGAAAAGGCCTGAAAGCCTTTTCCTTTATCTTCACAGAAAGACGAGAGAGAAGCATTGTCAGAAACTTCTTTGTGATGATTGCATTCAACTCACAGAGTTGAAGATTCCTTTTGAAACAGCAGTTTCGAAACACTCTTTCTGTGGGATCCGCAAGGGGATATTTGGACCTCTTTGAAGGTTTCGTTGGAAACGGGATAATCTTCACCTAAAACCTAAACGGAAGCATTCTCAGAAACTTCTTTGGGATGTTTGCATTCACCTCACAGAGTTGAACTTTCCCTTTGATAGCGCAGCTTTGACACACTTTTTCTACAATGTGCAAGTGGCTATTTAGCGGGCTTGGAGGACTGTGTTGGAAAAGGAAATATCTTCTCCTAAAAACGACATAGAAGCATTCTCAGAAACTGCTCTGTGATGATTGCATTCAACTCCCAGAGTTGAACATTCCTTTTGATAGAGCAGTTTGCAAACACTCTTTTTGTAGAATCTGCAAGTGGAGATTTGGACCGCTTTGAGGTCTGTGGTAGTGAAGGAAAGAGCTTCATATAAAAACCAGACGGTAGCACTCTCAGAAAATTCTTTGTGACGATGGAGTTTAACTCAGGGAGCTGAACATTCGTTATGATGGAGCAGTTTCCAAACACACGTTTTGTAGAATCTGCAAGGGGATATTTGGACCTCTCTGAGGATTTCGTTGGAAACGGGATCAACTTCCCATAACTGAACGGAAGCAAACTCAGAACATTCTTTGTGATGTTTGTATTCAACTCACAGAGTTGAACCTTCCTTTGATAGTTCAGGTTTGCAACACCCTTGTAGTAGAATCTGCAAGTGTATATTTTGACCACTTTGTAGCCTTCGTTTGAAACGTCTATATCTTCACATCAAACCTAGAAAGAAGCATTCTCAGAAAGTTTTCTGCGATGACTGCATTCAACTCACAGAGTTGAACAATCCTTTTGATGGAGCAGTTTTGAAACCCTCTTTCTTTGGAATCTGCAAGGGGATATGTGGACCTCTTTGAAGATTTCACTGGAAACGGGATCATCTTCACATAAAAACTAAACAGAAGCAATCTCGGAAGCTATTTTGTGATGTTTGTATTCAACTCCCAGAGTTGAACTTTCCTTTTGAAAGAGCAGCTATGAAACACTCTTTTTCGAGAATCTGCAAGTGGACGTTTGGAGGGCTTTGAGGCCTGTGGTGGAAAAGGAAATATCTTCACACAAAAACCAGATAGAAGCATTCTCAGAAACTGCTTTGTGAGGATGGCATTCAACTCATGGAGTTGAACAATCCTATTGATAGAGCAGATTGGAATCACTCTTTTTGTAGAATCTGCAAATGGAGATTTGGACTGCTTTGAGGCCTACGGTAGTACAGGAAGGAACTTCATATAAAAGGCAAACGGAAGCATTCTCAGAATATTCTTTGTGATGATGGAGTTTCACTCACAGAGCTGAACATGCCTTTTGATGGAGCAGTTTCCAAATACACTTTTGGTAGAATCTGCAGGTGGATATTTGGAGCTCTCTGAGGATTTCGTTGGAAAGGGGAATAATTTCCCATAACTAAACACAAACACTCTGAGAAAGTTCTTCATGATGAATGCATTTAACTCGCAGAGATGAACCTGCCTTTGAGAGTTCAGGTTCGAAACACTCTTTCTGTAGAATCTGCAAGTGGATATTTGGACCACTGGGTGGCCTTCGTTCGAAACGGGTATATGTTCACGTAAAAACTAAAGAGAAGCATTCTCAGAAACTTCTGAGTGATGATTGCATTCAAGTCACACGGTTGAACCCTCCTTTTGATGGAGCAGTTTTGAAACTGTCTTTTTGTAGAATCTGTAAGTGGATACGTGGACCTCTTTGAAGATTTCTTTGGAAACGGGAATATTTCCACAGAAAAACTAAACTGAAGCATTCTCAGAAACCGCTTTGTGATGTTTGTGTTCGAGCCGCAGAGTTTAACATTGCTTTTCATAGAGCAGTTTTGAAATATTCTTTTGGCAGAATCTGCAAGTGGACATTTGGAGCGCTTTCAGGCCTGTGGTGGAAAAGGCCTGAAAGCCTTTTCCTTTATCTTCACAGAAAGACGAGAGAGAAGCATTGTCAGAAACTTCTTTGTGATGATTGCATTCAACTCACAGAGTTGAAGATTCCTTTTGAAACAGCAGTTTCGAAACACTCTTTCTGTGGGATCCGCAAGGGGATATTTGGACCTACTTTGAAGGTTTCGTTGGAAACGGGATAATCTTCACCTAAAAGCTAAACGGAAGCATTCTCAGCAAACTTCTTTGGGATGTTTGCATTCACCTCACAGAGTTGAACTTTCCCTTTGATAGCGCAGCTTTGACACACTTTTTCTACAATGTGCAAGTGGCTATTTAGCGGGCTTGGAGGACTGTGTTGGAAAAGGAAATATCTTCTCCTAAAAACGACATAGAAGCATTCTCAGAAACTGCTCTGTGATGATTGCATTCAACTCCCAGAGTTGAACATTCCTTTTGATAGAGCAGTTTGCAAACACTCTTTTTGTAGAATCTGCAAGTGGAGATTTGGACCGCTTTGAGGCCTGTGGTAGTGAAGGAAAGAACTTCATATAAAAACCAGACGGTAGCACTCTCAGAAAATTCTTTGTGACGATGGAGTTTAACTCAGGGAGCTGAACATTCGTTATGATGGAGCAGTTTCCAAACACACGTTTTGTAGAATCTGCAAGGGGATATTTGGACCTCTCTGAGGATTTCGTTGGAAACGGGATCAACTTCCCATAACTGAACGGAAGCAAACTCAGAACATTCTTTGTGATGTTTGTATTCAACTCACAGAGTTGAACCTTCCTTTGATAGTTCAGGTTTGCAACACCCTTGTAGTAGAATCTGCAAGTGTATATTTTGACCACTTTGTAGCCTTCGTTTGAAACGTCTATACCTTCACATCAAACCTAGACAGAAGCATTCTCAGAAAGTTTTCTGCGATGACTGCATTCAACTCACAGAGTTGAACAATCCTTCTGATGGAGCAGTTTTGAAACCCTCTTTCTTTGGAATCTGCAAGGGGATATGTGGACCTCTTTGAAGATTTCACTGGAAACGGGATCATCTTCACATAAAAACTAAACAGAAGCATTCTCGGAAACTACTTTGTGATGTTTGTATTCAACTCCCAGAGTTGAACTTTCCTTTTGAAAGAGCAGCTATGAAACACTCTTTTTCGAGAATCTGCAAGTGGACGTTTGGAGGGCTTTGAGGCCTGTGGTGGAAAAGGAAATATCTTCACATAAAAACTAGATAGAAGCATTCTCAGAAACGACTTTGTGAGGATGGCATTCAACTCATGGAGTTGAACAATCCTATTGATAGAGCAGATTGGAATCACTCTTTTTGTAGAATCTGCAAATGGAGATTTGGACTGCTTTGAGGCCTACGGTCGTATAGGAAGGAACTTCATATAAAAGGCAAACGGAAGCATTCTCAGAATATTCTTTGTGATGATGGAGTTTCACTCACAGAGCTGAACATGCCTTTTGATGGAGCAGTTTCCAAATACACTTTTGGTAGAATCTGCAGGTGGATATTTGGACCTCTCTGAGGATTTCGTTGGAAACGGGAATAATTTCCCATAACTAAACACAAACACTCTGAGAAAGTTCTTCATGATGAATGCATTTAACTCGCAGAGATGAACCTGCCTTTGAGAGTTCAGGTTCGAAACACTCTTTCTGTAGAATCTGCAAGTGGATATTTGGACCACTGGCTGGCCTTCGTTCGAAACGGGTATATGTTCACGTAAAAACTAAAGAGAAGCATTCTCAGAAACTTCTGAGTGATGATTGCATTCAAGTCACACAGTTGAACCCTCCTTTTGATGGAGCAGTTTTGAAACTGTCTTTTTGTAGAATCTGTAAGTGGATACGTGGACCTCTTTGAAGATTTCTTTGGAAACGGGAATATTTCCACAGAAAAACTAAACTGAAGCATTCTCAGAAACCGCTTTGTGATGTTTGTGTTCGAGCCACAGAGTTTAACATTGCTTTTCATAGAGCAGTTTTGAAATATTCTTTTGGCAGAATCTGCAAGTGGACATTTGGAGCGCTTTCAGGCCTGTGGGTGGAAAAGGCCTGAAAGCCTTTTCCTTTACCTTCACAGAAAGACGAGAGAGAAGCATTGTCAGAAACTTCTTTGTGATGATTGCATTCAACTCACAGAGTTGAAGATTCCTTTTGAAACAGCAGTTTCGAAACACTCTTTCTGTGGGATCCGCAAGGGGATATTTGGACCTCTTTGAAGGTTTCGTTGGAAACGGGATAATCTTCACCTAAAAGCTAAACGGAAGCATTCTCAGAAACTTCTTTGGGATGTTTGCATTCACCTCACAGAGTTGAACTTTCCCTTTGATAGCGCAGCTTTGACACACTTTTTCTACAATGTGCAAGTGGCTATTTAGCGGGCTTGGAGGACTGTGTTGGAAAAGGAAATATCTTCTCCTAAAAACGACATAGAAGCATTCTCAGAAACTGCTCTGTGATGATTGCATTCAACTCCCAGAGTTGAACATTCCTTTTGATAGAGCAGTTTGCAAACACTCTTTTTGTAGAATCTGCAAGTGGAGATTTAGACCGCTTTGAGGCCTGTGGTAGTGAAGGAAAGAACTTCATATAAAAACCAGACGGTAGCACTCTCAGAAAATTCTTTGTGACGATGTAGTTTAACTCAGGGAGCTGAACATTCGTTATGATGGAGCAGTTTCCAAACACACGTTTTGTAGAATCTGCGAGGGGATATTTGGACCTCTCTGAGGATTTCGTTGGAAACGGGATCAACTTCCCATAACTGAACGGAAGCAAACTCAGAACATTCTTTGTGATGTTTGAATTCAACTCACAGAGTTGAACCTTCCTTTGATAGTTCAGGTTTGCAACACCCTTGTAGTAGAATCTGCAAGTGTATATTTTGACCACTTTGTAGCCTTCGTTTGAAACGTCTATATCTTCACATCAAACCTAGACAGAAGCATTCTCAGAAAGTTTTCTGCGATGACTGCATTCAACTCACAGAGTTGAACAATCCTTCTGATGGAGCAGTTTTGAAACCCTCTTTCTTTGGAATCTGCAAGGGAATATGTGGACCTCTTTGAAGATTTCACTGGAAACGGGATCATCTTCACATAAAAACTAAACAGAAGCATTCTCGGAAACTACTTTGTGATGTTTGTATTCAACTCCCAGAGTTGAACTTTCCTTTTGAAAGAGCAGCTATGAAACACTCTTTTTCGAGAATCTGCAAGTGGACGTTTGGAGGGCTTTGAGGCCTGTGGTGGAAAAGGAAATATCTTCACATAAAAACTAGATAGAAGCATTCTCAGAAACTACTTTGTGAGGATGGCATTCAACTCATGGAGTTGAACAATCCTATTGATAGAGCAGATTGGAATCACTCTTTTTGTAGAATCTGCAAATGGAGATTTGGACTGCTTTGAGGCCTACGGTCGTATAGGAAGGAACTTCATATAAAAGGCAAACGGAAGCATTCTCAGAATATTCTTTGTGATGATGGAGTTTCACTCACAGAGCTGAACATGCCTTTTGATGGAGCAGTTTCCAAATACACTTTTGGTAGAATCTGCAGGTGGATATTTGGAGCTCTCTGAGGATTTCGTTGGAAACGGGAATAATTTCCCATAACTAAACACAAAAACACTCTGAGAAAGTTCTTCATGATGAATGCATTTAACTCGCCAGAGATGAACCTGCCTTTGAGAGTTCAGGTTCGAAACACTCTTTCTGTAGAATCTGCAAGTGGATATTTGGACCACTGGGTGGCCTTCGTTCGAAACGGGTATATGTTCACGTAAAAACTAAAGAGAAGCATTCTCAGAAACTTCTGAGTGATGATTGCATTCAAGTCACACAGTTGAACCCTCCTTTTGAAGGAGCAGTTTTGAAACTGTCTTTTTGTAGAATCTGTAAGTGGATACGTGGACCTCTTTGAAGATTTCTTTGGAAACGGGAATATTTCCACAGAAAAACTAAACTGAAGCATTCTCAGAAACCGCTTTGTGATGTTTGTGTTCGAGCCACAGAGTTTAACATTGCTTTTCACAAAGCAGTTTTGAAATATTCTTTTGGCAGAATCTGCAAGTGGACATTTGGAGCGCTTTCAGGCCTGTGGTGGCAAAGGCCTGAAAGCATTTATTTATCTTCACAGAAAGACGAGAGAGAAGCATTGTCAGAAACTTCTTTGTGATGATTGCATTCAACTCACAGAGTTGAAGATTCCTTTTGAAACAGCAGTTTCGAAACACTCTTTCTGTGGGATCCGCAAGGGGATATTTGGACTTCTTTGAAGGTTTCGTTGGAAACGGGATAATCTTCACCTAAAAGCTAAACGGAAGCACTCTCAGAAACTTCTTTGGGATGTTTGCATTCACCTCTCAGAGTTGAACTTTCCCTTTGATAGCGCAGCTTTGACACACTTTTTCTACAATGTGCAAGTGGCTATTTAGCGGACTTGGAGGAATGTGTTGGAAAAGGAAATATCTTCTCCTAAAAACGACATAGAAGCATTCTCAGAAACTGCTCTGTGATGATTGCATTCAACTCCCAGAGTTGAACATTCCTTTTGATAGAGCAGTTTGCAAACACTCTTTTTGTAGAATCTGCAAGTGGAGATTTTGACCGCTTTGAGGCCTGGGGTAGTAAAGGAAAGAGCTTCATATAAAAACCAGACGGTAGCACTCTCAGAAAATTCTTTGTGACGATGGAGTTTAACTCAGGGAGCTGAACATTCGTTATGATGGAGCAGTTTCCAAAAACACGTTTTGTAGAATCTGCAAGGGGATATTTGGACCTCTCTGAGGATTTCGTTGGAAACGGGATCAACTTCCCATAACTGAACGGAAGCAAACTCAGAACATTCTTTGTGATGTTTGTATTCAACTCACAGAGTTGAACCTTCCTTTGATAGTTCAGGTTTGCAACACCCTTGTAGTAGTATCTGCAAGTGTATATTTTGACCACTTTGTAGCCTTCGTTTGAAACGTCTATATCTTCACATCAAACCTAGACAGAAGCATTCTCAGAAAGTTTTCTGCGATGACTGCATTCAACTCACAGAGTTGAACAATCCTATTGATGGAGCAGTTTTGAAACCCTCTTTCTTTGGAATCTGCAAGGGGATATGTGGACCTCTTTGAAGATTTCACTGGAAACGGGATCATCTTCACATAAAAACTAAACAGAAGCATTCTCGGAAACTACTTTGTGATGTTTGTATTCAACTCCCAGAGTTGAACTTTCCTTTTGAAAGAGCAGCTATGAAACACTCTTTTTCGAGAATCTGCAAGTGGACGTTTGGAGGGCTTTGAGGCCTGTGGTGGAAAAGGAAATATCTTCACATAAAAACTAGATAGAAGCATTCTCAGAAACGACTTTGTGAGGATGGCATTCAACTCATGGAGTTGAACAATCCTATTGATAGAGCAGATTGGAATCACTCTTTTTGTAGAATCTGCAAATGGAGATTTGCACTGCTTTGAGGCCTACGGTCGTATAGGAAGGAACTTCATATAAAAGGCAAACGGAAGCATTCTCAGAATATTCTTTGTGATGATGGAGTTTCATTCACAGAGCTGAACATGCCTGTTGATGGAGCAGTTTCCAAATACACTTTTGGTAGAATCTGCAGGTGGATATTTGGAGCTCTCTGAGGATTTCGTTGGAAACGGGAATAATTTCCCATAACTAAACACAAACACTCTGAGAAAGTTCTTCATGATGAATGCATTCAACTCGCAGAGATGAACCTGCCTTTGAGAGTTCAGGTTCGAAACACTCTTTCTGTAGAATCTGCAAGTGGATATTTGGACCACTGGGTGGCCTTCGTTCGAAACGGGTATATGTTCACGTAAAAACTAAAGAGAAGCATTCTCAGAAACTTCTGAGTGATGATTGCATTCAAGTCACACAGTTGAACCCTCCTTTTGATGGAGCAGTTTTGAAACTGTCTTTTTGTAGAATCTGTAAGTGGATACGTGGACCTCTTTGAAGATTTCTTTGGAAACGGGAATATTTCCACAGAAAAACTAAACTGAAACATTCTCAGAAACCGCTTTGTGATGTTTGTGTTCCAGCCACAGAGTTTAACATTGCTTTTCATAGAGCAGTTTTGAAATATTCTTTTGGCAGAATCTGCAAGTGGACATTTGGAGCGCTTTCAGGCCTGTGGTGGAAAAGGCCTGAAAGCCTTTTCCTTTATCTTCACAGAAAGACGAGAGAGAAGCATTGTCAGAAACTTCTTTGTGATGATTGCATTCAACTCACAGAGTTGAAGATTCCTTTTGAAACAGCAGTTTCGAAACACTCTTTCTGTGGGATCCGCAAGGGGATATTTGGACCTCTTTGAAGGTTTCGTTGGAAACGGGATAATCTTCACCTAAAAGCTAAACGGAAGCATTCTCAGAAACTTCTTTGGGATGTTTGCATTCACCTCACAGAGTTGAACTTTCCCTTTGATAGCGCAGCTTTGACACACTTTTTCTACAATGTGCAAGTGGCTATTTAGCGGGCTTGGAGGACTGTGTTGGAAAAGGAAATATCTTCTCCTAAAAACGACATAGAAGCATTCTCAGAAACTGCTCTGTGATGATTGCATTCAACTCCCAGAGTTGAACATTCCTTTTGATAGAGCAGTTTGCAAACACTCTTTTTGTAGAATCTGCAAGTGGAGATTTGGACCGCATTGAGGCCTGTGGTAGTGAAGGAAAGAACTTCATATAAAAACCAGACGGTAGCACTCTCAGAAAATTCTTTGTGACGATGGAGTTTAACTCAGGGAGCTGAACATTCGTTATGATGGAGCAGTTTCCAAACACACGTTTTGTAGAATCTGCAAGGGGATATTTGGACCTCTCTGAGGATTTCGTTGGAAACGGGATCAACTTCCCATAACTGAACGGAAGCAAACTCAGAACATTCTTTGTGATGTTTGTATTCAACTCACAGAGTTGAACCTTCCTTTGATAGTTCAGGTTTGCAACACCCTTGTAGTAGAATCTGCAAGTGTATATTTTGACCACTTTGTAGCCTTCATTTGAAACGTCTATATCTTCACATCAAACCTAGACAGAAGCATTCTCAGAAAGTTTTCTGCGATGACTGCATTCAACTCACAGAGTTGAACAATCCTTCTGATGGAGCAGTTTTGAAACCCTCTTTCTTTGGAATCTGCAAGGGGATATGTGGACCTCTTTGAAGATTTCACTGGAAACGGGATCATCTTCACATAAAAACTAAACAGAAGCATTCTCGGAAACTACTTTGTGATGTTTGTATTCAACTCCCAGAGTTGAACTTTCCTTTTGAAAGAGCAGCTATGAAACACTCTTTTTCGAGAATCTGCAAGTGGACGTTTGGAAGGCTTTGAGGCCTGTGGTGGAAAAGGAAATATCTTCACATAAAAACTAGATAGAAGCATTCTCAGAAACGACTTTGTGAGGATGGCATTCAACTCATGGAGTTGAACAATCCTATTGATAGAGCAGATTGGAATCACTCTTTTTGTAGAATCTGCAAATGGAGATTTGGACTGCTTTGAGGCCTACGGTCGTATAGGAAGGAACTTCATATAAAAGGCAAACGGAAGCATTCTCAGAATATTCTTTGTGATGATGGAGTTTCACTCACAGAGCTGAACATGCCTTTTGATGGAGCAGTTTCCAAATACACTTTTGGTAGAATCTGCAGGTGGATATTTGGACCTCTCTGAGGATTTCGTTGGAAACGGGAATAATTTCCCATAACTAAACACAAAACACTCTGAGAAAGTTCTTCATGATGAATGCATTTAACTCGCAGAGATGAACCTGCCTTTGAGAGTTCAGGTTCGAAACACTCTTTCTGTAGAATCTGCAAGTGGACATTTGGACCACTGGGTGGCGTTCGTTCGAAACGGGTATATGTTCACGTAAAAACTAAAGAGAAGCATTCTCAGAAACTTCTGAGTGATGATTGCATTCAAGTCACACAGTTGAACCCTCCTTTTGATGGAGCAGTTTTGAAACTGTCTTTTTGTAGAATCTGTAAGTGGATACGTGGACCTCTTTGAAGATTTCTTTGGAAACGGGAATATTTCCACAGAAAAACTAAACTGAAGCATTCTCAGTAACTGCTTTGTGATGTTTGTGTTCGAGCCACAGAGTTTAACATTGCTTTTCATAGAGCAGTTTTGAAATATTCTTTTCGCAGAATCTGCAAGTGGACATTTGGAGCGCTTTCAGGCCTGTGGTGGAAAAGGCCTGAAAGCCTTTTCCTTTATCTTCACAGAAAGACGAGAGAGAAGCATTGTCAGAAACTTCTTTGTGATGATTGCATTCAACTCACAGAGTTGAAGATTCCTTTTGAAACAGCAGTTTCGAAACACTCTTTCTGTGGGATCCGCAAGGGGATATTTGGACCTCTTTGAAGGTTTCGTTGGAAACGGGATAATCTTCACCTAAAAGCTAAACGGAAGCACTCTCAGAAACTTCTTTGGGATGTTTGCATTCACCTCACAGAGTTGAACTTTCCCTTTGATAGCGCAGCTTTGACACACTTTTTCTACAATGTGCAAGTGGCTATTTAGCGGGCTTGGAGGACTGTGTTGGAAAAGGAAATATCTTCTCCTAAAAACGACATAGAAGCATTCTCAGAAACTGCTCTGTGATGATTGCATTCAACTCCCAGAGTTGAACATTCCTTTTGATAGAGCAGTTTGCAAACACTCTTTTTGTAGAATCTGGAAGTGGAGATTTGGACCGCTTTGAGGCCTGGGGTAGTGAAGGAAAGAACTTCATATAAAAACCAGACGGTAGCACTCTCAGAAAATTCTTTGTGACGATGGAGTTTAACTCAGGGAGCTGAACATTCGTTATGATGGAGCAGTTTCCAAACACACTTTTTGTAGAATCTGCAAGGGGATATTTGGGCCTCTCTGAGGATTTCGTTGGAAACGGGATCAACTTCCCATAACTGAACGGAAGCAAACTCAGAACATTCTTTGTGATGTTTGTATTCAACTCACAGAGTTGAACCTTCCTTTGATAGTTCAGGTTTGCAACACCCTTGTAGTAGAATCTGCAAGTGTATATTTTGACCACTTTGTAGCCTTCGTTTGAAACGTCTATATCTTCACATCAAACCTAGAAAGAAGCATTCTCAGAAAGTTTTCTGCGATGACTGCATTCAACTCACAGAGTTGAACAATCCTTCTGATGGAGCAGTTTTGAAACCCTCTTTCTTTGGAATCTGCAAGGGGATATGTGGACCTCTTTGAAGATTTCACTGGAAACGGGATCATCTTCACATAAAAACTAAACAGAAGCATTCTCGGAAACTACTTTGTGATGTTTGTATTCAACTCCCAGAGTTGAACTTTCCTTTTGAAAGAGCAGCTATGAAACACTCTTTTTCGAGAATCTGCAAGTGGACGTTTGGAGGGCTTTGAGGCCTGTGGTGGAAAAGGAAATATCTTCACATAAAAACTAGATAGAAGCATTCTCAGAAACGACTTTGTGAGGATGGCATTCAACTCATGGAGTTGAACAATCCTATTGATAGAGCAGATTGGAATCACTCTTTTTGTAAAATCTGCAAATGGAGATTTGGACTGCTTTGAGGCCTACGGTCGTATAGGAAGGAACTTCAGATAAAAGGCAAACGGAAGCATTCTCAGAATATTCTTTGTGATGATGGAGTTTCACTCACAGAGCTGAACATGCCTTTTGATGGAGCAGTTTCCAAATACACTTTTGGTAGAATCTGCAGGTGGATATTTGGAGCTCTCTGAGGATTTCGTTGGAAACGGGAATAATTTCCCATAACTAAACACAAACACTCTGAGAAAGTTCTTCATGATGAATGCATTTAACTCGCAGAGATGAACCTGCCTTTGAGAGTTCAGGTTCGAAACACTCTTTCTGTAGAATCTGCAAGTGGATATTTGGACCACTGGGTGGCCTTCGTTCGAAACGGGTATATGTTCACGTAAAAACTAAAGAGAAGCATTCTCAGAAACTTCTGAGTGATGATTGCATTCAAGTCACACAGTTGAACCCTCCTTTTGATGGAGCAGTTTTGAAACTGTCTTTTTGTAGAATCTGTAAGTGGATACGTGGACCTCTTTGAAGATTTCTTTGGAAACGGGAATATTTCCACAGAAAAACTAAACTGAAGCATTCTCAGAAACCGCTTTTTGATGTTTGTGTTCGAGCCACAGAGTTTAACATTGCTTTTCATAGAGCAGTTTTGAAATATTCTTTTCGCAGAATCTGCAAGTGGACATTTGGAGCGCTTTCAGGCCTGTGGTGGAAAAGGCCTGAAAGCCTTTTCCTTTATCTTCACAGAAAGACGAGAGAGAAGCATTGTCAGAAACTTCTTTGTGATGATTGCATTCAACTCACAGAGTTGAAGATTCCTTTTGAAACAGCAGTTTCGAAACACTCTTTCTGTGGGATCCGCAAGGGGATATTTGGACCTCTTTGAAGGTTTCGTTGGAAACGGGATAATCTTCACCTAAAAGCTAAACGGAAGCATTCTCAGAAACTTCTTTGGGATGTTTGCATTCACCTCACAGAGTTGAACTTTCCCTTTGATAGCGCAGCTTTGACACACTTTTTCTACAATGTGCAAGTGGCTATTTAGCGGGCTTGGAGGACTGTGTTGGAAAAGGAAATATCTTCTCCTAAAAACGACATAGAAGCATTCTCAGAAACTGCTCTGTGATGATTGCATTCAACTCCCAGAGTTGAACATTCCTTTTGATAGAGCAGTTTGCAAACACTCTTTTTGTAGAATCTGCAAGTGGAGATTTGGACCGCTTTGAGGCCTGTGGTAGTGAAGGAAAGAACTTCATATAAAAACCAGACGGTAGCACTCTCAGAAAATTCTTTGTGACGATGGAGTTTAACTCAGGGAGCTGAACATTCGTTATGATGGAGCAGTTTCCAAACACACGTTTTGTAGAATCTGCAAGGGGATATTTGGACCTCTCTGAGGATTTCGTTGGAAACGGGATCAACTTCCCATAACTGAACGGAAGCAAACTCAGAACATTCTTTGTGATGTTTGTATTCAACTCACAGAGTTGAACCTTCCTTTGATAGTTCAGGTTTGCAACACCCTTGTAGTAGAATCTGCAAGTGTATATTTTGACCACTTTGTAGCCTTCGTTTGAAACGTCTATATCTTCACATCAAACCTAGACAGAAGCATTCTCAGAAAGTTTTCTGCGATGACTGCATTCAACTCACAGAGTTGAACAATCCTTCTGATGGAGCAGTTTTGAAACCCTCTTTCTTTGGAATCTGCAAGGGGATATGTGGACCTCTTTGAAGATTTCACTGGAAACGGGATCATCTTCACATAAAAACTAAACAGAAGCATTCTCGGAAACTACTTTGTGATGTTTGTATTCAACTGCCAGAGTTGAACTTTCCTTTTGAAAGAGCAGCTATGAAACACTCTTTTTCGAGAATCTGCAAGTGGACGCTTGGAGGGCTTTGAGGCCTGTGGTGGAAAAGGAAATATCTTCACATAAAAACTAGATAGAAGCATTCTCAGAAACGACTTTGTGAGGATGGCATTCAACTCATGGAGTTGAACAATCCTATTGATAGAGCAGATTGGAATCACTCTTTTTGTAGAATCTGCAAATGGAGATTTGGACTGCTTTGAGGCCTACGGTCGTATAGGAAGGAACTTCATATAAAAGGCAAACGGAAGCATTCTAAGAATATTCTTTATGATGATGGAGTTTCACTCACAGAGCTGAACATGCCTTTTGATGGAGCAGTTTCCAAATACACTTTTGGTAGAATCTGCAGGTGGATATTTGGAGCTCTCTGAGGATTTCGTTGGAAACGGGAATAATTTCCCATAACTAAACACAAACACGCTGAGAAAGTTCTTCATGATGAATGCATTTAACTCGCAGAGATGAACCTGCCTTTGAGAGTTCAGGTTCGAAACACTCCTTCTGTAGAATCTGCAAGTGGATATTTGGACCACTGGCTGGCCTTCGTTCGAAACGGGTATATGTTCACGTAAAAACTAAAGAGAAGCATTCTCAGAAACTTCTGAGTGATGATTGCATTCAAGTCACACGGTTGAACCCTCCTTTTGATGGAGCAGTTTTGAAACTGTCTTTTTGTAGAATCTGTAAGTGGATACGTGGACCTCTTTGAAGATTTCTTTGGAAACGGGAATATTTCCACAGAAAAACTAAACTGAAGCATTCTCAGAAACCGCTTTGTGATGTTTGTGTTCGAGCCACAGAGTTTAACATTGCTTTTCATAGAGCAGTTTTGAAATATTCTTTTGGCAGAATCTGCAAGTGGACATTTGGAGCGCTTTCAGGCCTGTGGTGGAAAAGGCCTGAAAGCCTTTTCCTTTATCTTCACAGAAAGACGAGAGAGAAGCATTGTCAGAAACTTCTTTGTGATGATTGCATTCAACTCACAGAGTTGAAGATTCCTTTTGAAACAGCAGTTTCGAAACACTCTTTCTGTGGGATCCGCAAGGGGATATTTGGACCTCTTTGAAGGTTTCGTTGGAAACGGGATAATCTTCACCTAAAAGCTAAACGGAAGCATTCTCAGAAACTTCTTTGGGATGTTTGCATTCACCTGACAGAGTTGAACTTTCCCTTTGATAGCGCAGCTTTGACACACTTTTTCCACAATGTGCAAGTGGCTATTTAGCGGGCTTGGGGGACTGTGTTGGAAAAGGAAATATCTTCTCCTAAAAACGACATAGAAGCATTCTCAGAAACTGCTCTGTGATGATTGCATTCAACTCCCAGAGTTGAACATTCCTTTTGATAGAGCAGTTTGCAAACACTCTTTTTGTAGAATCTGCAAGTGGAGATTTGGACCGCTTTGAGGCCTGTGGTAGTGAAGGAAAGAGCTTCATATAAAAACCAGACGGTAGCACTCTCAGAAAATTCTTTGTGACGATGGAGTTTAACTCAGTGAGCTGAACATTCGTTATGATGGAGCAGTTTCCAAACACACGTTTTGTAGAATCTGCGAGGGGATATTTGGACCTCTCTGAGGATTTCGTTGGAAACGGGATCAACTTCCCATAACTGAACGGAAGCAAACTCAGAACATTCTTTGTGATGTTTGTATTCAATTCACAGAGTTGAACCTTCCTTTGATAGTTCAGGTTTGCAACACCCTTGTAGTAGAATCTGCAAGTGTATATTTTGACCACTTTGTAGCCTTCGTTTGAAACGTCTATATCTTCACATCAAACCTAGACAGAAGCATTCTCAGAAAGTTTTCTGCGATGACTGCATTCAACTCACAGAGTTGAACAATCCTTCTGATGGAGCAGTTTTGAAACCCTCTTTCTTTGGAATCTGCAAGGGGATATGTGGACCTCTTTGAAGATTTCACTGGAAACGGGATCATCTTCACATAAAAACTAAACAGAAGCATTCTCGGAAACTACTTTGTGATGTTTGTATTCAACTCCCAGAGTTGAACTTTCCTTTTGAAAGAGCAGCTATGAAACACTCTTTTTCGAGAATCTGCAAGTGGACGTTTGGAGGGCTTTGAGGCCTGTGGTGGAAAAGGAAATATCTTCACATAAAAACTAGATAGAAGCATTCTCAGAAACGACTTTGTGAGGATGGCATTCAACTCATGGAGTTGAACAATCCTATTGATAGAGCAGATTGGAATCACTCTTTTTGTAGAATCTGCAAATGGAGATTTGCACTGCTTTGAGGCCTACGGTCGTATAGGAAGGAACTTCATATAAAAGGCAAACGGAAGCATTCTCAGAATATTCTTTGTGATGATGGAGTTTCACTCACAGAGCTGAACATGCCTGTTGATGGAGCAGTTTCCAAATACACTTTTGGTAGAATCTGCAGGTGGACATTTGGACCTCTCTGAGGATTTCGTTGGGAACGGGAATAATTTCCCATAACTAAACACAAACACGCTGAGAAAGTTCTTCATGATGAATGCATTTAACTCGCAGAGATGAACCTGCCTTTGAGAGTTCAGGTTCGAAACACTCTTTCTGTAGAATCTGCAAGTGGACATTTGGACCACTGGGTGGCCTTCGTTCGAAACGGGTATATGTTCACGTAAAAACTAAAGAGAAGCATTCTCAGAAACTTCTGAGTGATGATTGCATTCAAGTCACAGAGTTGAACCCTCCTTTTGATTGAGCAGTTTTGAAACTGTCTTTTTGTAGAATCTGTAAGTGGATACGTGGACCTCTTTGAAGATTTCTTTGGAAACGGGAATATTTCCACAGAAAAACTAAACTGAAGCATTCTCAGAGACCGCTTTGTGATGTTTGTGTTCGAGCCACAGAGTTTAACATTGCTTTTCATAGAGCAGTTTTGAAATATTCTTTTGGCAGAATCTGCAAGTGGACATTTGGAGCGCTTTCAGGCCTGTGGTGGCAAAGGCCTGAACGCCTTTTCCTTTATGTTCACAGAAAGACGAGAGAGAAGCATTGTCAGAAACTTCTTTGTGATGATTGCATTCAACTCACAGAGTTGAAGATTCCTTTTGAAACAGCAGTTTCGAAACACTCTTTCTGTGGGATCCGCAAGGGGATATTTGGACCTCTTTGAAGGTTTCGTTGGAAACGGGATAATCTTCACCTAAAAGCTAAACGGAAGCATTCTCAGAAACTTCTTTGGGATGTTTGCATTCACCTCACAGAGTTGAACTTTCCCTTTGATAGCGCAGCTTTGACACACTTTTTCTACAATGTGCAAGTGGCTATTTAGCGGGCTTGGAGGACTGTGTTGGAAAACGAAATATCTTCTCCTAAAAACGACATAGAAGCATTCTCAGAAACTGCTCTGTGACGATTGCATTCAACTCCCAGAGTTGAACATTCCTTTTGATAGAGCAGTTTGCAAACACTCTTTTTGTAGAATCTGCAAGTGGAGATTTGGACCGCTTTGAGGCCTGTGGTAGTGAAGGAAAGAACTTCATATAAAAACCAGACGGTAGCACTCTCAGAAAATTCTTTGTGACGATGGAGTTTAACTCAGGGAGCTGAACATTCGTTATGATGGAGCAGTTTCCAAACACACGTTTTGTAGAATCTGCAAGGGGATATTTGGACCTCTCTGAGGATTTCGTTGGAAACGGGATCAACTTCCCATAACTGAACGGAAGCAAACTCAGAACATTCTTTGTGATGTTTGTATTCAACTCACAGAGTTGAACCTTCCTTTGATAGTTCAGGTTTGCAACACCCTTGTAGTAGAATCTGCAAGTGTATATTTTGACCACTTTGTAGCCTTCGTTTGAAACGTCTATATCTTCACATCAAACCTAGACAGAAGCATTCTCAGAAAGTTTTCTGCGATGACTGCATTCAACTCACAGAGTTGAACAATCCTTCTGATGGAGCAGTTTTGAAACCCTCTTTCTTTGGAATCTGCAAGGGGATATGTGGACCTCTTTGAAGATTTCACTGGAAACGGGATCATCTTCACATAAAAACTAAACAGAAGCATTCTCGGAAACTATTTTGTGATGTTTGTATTCAACTCCCAGAGTTGAACTTTCCTTTTGAAAGAGCAGCTATGAAACACTCTTTTTCGAGAATCTGCAAGTGGACGTTTGGAGGGCTTTGAGGCCTGTGGTGGAAAAGGAAATATCTTCACACAAAAACCAGATAGAAGCATTCTCAGAAACTACTTTGTGAGGATGGCATTCAAATCATGGAGTTGAACAATCCTATTGATAGAGCAGATTGGAATCACTCTTTTTATAGAATCTGCAAATGGAGATTTGGACTGCTTTGAGGCCTACGGTAGTACAGGAAGGAACTTCATATAAAAGGCAAACGGAAGCATTCTCAGAATATTCTTTGTGATGATGGAGTTTCACTGACAGAGCTGAACATGCCTTTTGATGGAGCAGTTTCCAAATACACTTTTGGTAGAATCTGCAGGTGGATATTTGGAGCTCTCTGAGGATTTCGTTGGAAACGGGAATAATTTCCCATAACTAAACACAAACACTCTGAGAAAGTTCTTCATGATGAATGCATTTAACTCGCAGAGATGAACCTGCCTTTGAGAGTTCAGGTTCGAAACACTCTTTCTGTATAATCTGCAAGTGGATATTTGGACCACTGGGTGGCCTTCGTTCGAAACGGGTATATGTTCACGTAAAAACTAAAGAGAAGCATTCTCAGAAACTTCTGAGTGATGATTGCATTCAAGTCACACAGTTGAACCCTCCTTTTGATGGAGCAGTTTTGAAACTGTCTTTTTGTAGAATCTGTAAGTGGATACGTGGACCTCTTTGAAGATTTCTTTGGAAACGGGAATATTTCCACAGAAAAACTAAACTGAAACATTCTCAGAAACCGCTTTGTGATGTTTGTGTTCCAGCCACAGAGTTTAACATTGCTTTTCATAGAGCAGTTTTGAAATATTCTTTTGGCAGAATCTGCAAGTGGACATTTGGAGCGCTTTCAGGCCTGTGGTGGAAAAGGCCTGAAAGCCTTTTCCTTTATCTTCACAGAAAGACGAGAGAGAAGCATTGTCAGAAACTTCTTTGTGATGATTGCATTCAACTCACAGAGTTGAAGATTCCTTTTGAAACAGCAGTTTCGAAACACTCTTTCTGTGGGATCCGCAAGGGGATATTTGGACCTCTTTGAAGGTTTCGTTGGAAACGGGATAATCTTCACCTAAAAGCTAAACGGAAGCATTCTCAGAAACTTCTTTGGGATGTTTGCATTCACCTCACAGAGTTGAACTTTCCCTTTGATAGCGCAGCTTTGACACACTTTTTCTACAATGTGCAAGTGGCTATTTAGCGGGCTTGGAGGATTGTGTTGGAAAAGGAAATATCTTCTCCTAAAAACGACATAGAAGCATTCTCAGAAACTGCTCTGTGATGATTGCATTCAACTCCCAGAGTTGAACATTCCTTTTGATAGAGCAGTTTGCAAACACTCTTTTTGTAGAATCTGCAAGTGGAGATTTGGACCGCTTTGAGGCCTGTGGTAGTGAAGGAAAGAACTTCATATAAAAACCAGACGGTAGCACTCTCAGAAAATTCTTTGTGACGATGGAGTTTAACTCAGGGAGCTGAACATTCGTTATGATGGAGCAGTTTCCAAACACACGTTTTGTAGAATCTGCAAGGGGATATTTAGACCTCTCTGAGGATTTCGTTGGAAACGGGATCAACTTCCCATAACTGAACGGAAGCAAACTCGGAACATTCTTTGTGATGTTTGTATTCAACTCACAGAGTTGAACCTTCCTTTGATAGTTCAGGTTTGCAACACCCTTGTAGTAGAATCTGCAAGTGTATATTTTGACCACTTTGTAGCCTTCGTTTGAAACGTCTATATCTTCACATCAAACCTAGACAGAAGCATTCTCAGAAAGTTTTCTGCGATGACTGCATTCAACTCACAGAGTTGAACAATCCTTCTGATGGAGCAGTTTTGAAACCCTCTTTCTTTGGAATCTGCAAGGGGATATGTGGACCTCTTTGAAGATTTCACTGGAAACGGGATCATCTTCACATAAAAACTAAACAGAAGCATTCTCGGAAACTACTTTGTGATGTTTGTATTCAACTCCCAGAGTTGAACTTTCCTTTTGAAAGAGCAGCTATGAAACACTCTTTTTCGAGAATCTGCAAGTGGACGTTTGGAGGGCTTTGAGGCCTGTGGTGGAAAAGGAAATATCTTCACATAAAAACTAGATAGAAGCATTCTCAGAAACTACTTTGTGAGGATGGCATTCAACTCATGGAGTTGAACAATCCTATTGATAGAGCAGATTGGAATCACTCTTTTTGTAGAATCTGCAAATGGAGATTTGGACTGCTTTGAGGCCTACGGTCGTATAGGAAGGAACTTCATGTAAAAGGCAAACGGAAGCATTCTCAGAATATTCTTTGTGATGATGGAGTTTCACTCACAGAGCTGAACATGCCTTTTGATGGAGCAGTTTCCAAATACACTTTTGGTAGAATCTGCAGGTGGATATTTGGAGCTCTCTGAGGATTTCGTTGGAAACGGGAATAATTTCCCATAACTAAACACAAACACTCTGAGAAAGTTCTTCATGATGAATGCATTTAACTCGCAGAGATGAACCTGCCTTTGAGAGTTCAGGTTCGAAACACTCTTTCTGTAGAATCTGCAAGTGGATATTTGGACCACTGGCTGGCCTTCGTTCGAAACGGGTATATGTTCACGTAAAAACTAAAGAGAAGCATTCTCAGAAACTTCTGAGTGATGATTACATTCAAGTCACACAGTTGAACCCTCCTTTTGATTGAGCAGTTTTGAAACTGTCTTTTTGTAAAATCTGTAAGTGGATACGTGGACCTCTTTGAATATTTCTTTGGAAACGGGAATATTTCCACAGAAAAACTAAACTGAAGCATTCTCAGAAACTGCTTTGTGATGTTTGTGTTCGAGCCACAGAGTTTAACATTGCTTTTCATAGAGCAGTTTTGAAATATTCTTTTGGCAGAATCTGCAAGTGGACATTTGGAGCGCTTTCAGGCCTGTGGTTGAAAAGGCCTGAAAGCCTTTTCCTTTATCTTCACAGAAAGACGAGAGAGAAGCATTGTCAGAAACTTCTTTGTGATGATTGCATTCAACTCACAGAGTTGAAGATTCCTTTTGAAACAGCAGTTTCGAAACACTCTTTCTGTGGGATCCGCAAGGGGATATTTGGACCTCTTTGAAGCTTTCGTTGGAAACGGGATAATCTTCACCTAAAAGCTAAACGGAAGCACTCTCAGAAACTTCTTTGGGATGTTTGCATTCACCTCACAGAGTTGAACTTTCCCTTTGATAGCGCAGCTTTGACACACTTTTTCTACAATGTGCAAGTGGATATTTAGCGGGCGTGGAGGACTGTGTTGGAAAAGGAAATATCTTCTCCTAAAAACGACATAGAAGCATTCTCAGAAACTGCTCTGTGATGATTGCATTCAACTCCCAGGGTTGAACATTCCTTTTGATAGAGCAGTTTGCAAACACTCTTTTTGTAGAATCTGCAAGTGGAGATTTGGACCGCTTTGAGGCCTATGGTAGTAAAGGAAAGAACTTCATATAAAAACCAGACGGTAGCACTCTCAGAAAATTCTTTGTGACGATGGAGTTTAACTCAGGGAGCTGAACATTCGTTATGATGGAGCAGTTTCCAAACACACGTTTTGTAGAATCTGCAAGGGGATATTTGGACCTCTCTGAGGATTTCGTTGGAAACGGGATCAACTTCCCATAACTGAACGGAAGCAAACTCAGAAAATTCTTTGTGATGTTTGTATTCAACTCCCAGAGTTGAACTTTCCTTTTGAAAGAGCAGCTATGAAACACTCTTTTTCTAGAATCTGCAAGTGGACGTTTGGAGGGCTTTGAGGCCTGTGGTGGAAAAGGAAATATCTTCACATAAAAACTAGATAGAAGCATTCTCAGAAACTACTTTGTGAGGATGGCATTCAACTCATGGAGTTGAACAATCCTATTGATAGAGCAGATTGGAATCACTCTTTTTGTAGAATCTGCAAATGGAGATTTGGACTGCTTTGAGGCCTACGGTAGTATAGGAAGGAACTTCATATAAAAGGCGAACGGAAGCATTCTCAGAATATTCTTTGTGATGATGGAGTTTCACTCACAGAGCTGAACATGCCTTTTGATGGAGCAGTTTCCAAATACACTTTTGGTAGAATCTGCAGGTGGATATTTGGAGCTCTCTGAGGATTTCGTTGGAAACGGGAATAATTTCCCATAACTAAACACAAACACTCTGAGAAAGTTCTTCATGATGAATGCATTTAACTCGCAGAGATGAACCTGCCTTTGAGAGTTCAGGTTCGAAACACTCTTTCTGTAGAATCTGCAAGTGGATATTTGGACCACTGGGTGGCCTTCGTTCGAAACGGGTATATGTTCACGTAAAAACTAAAGAGAAGCATTCTCAGAAACTTCTGAGTGATGATTGCATTCAAGTCACACAGTTGAACCCTCCTTTTGATGGAGCAGTTTTGAAACTGTCTTTTTGTAGAATCTGTAAGTGGATACGTGGACCTCTTTGAAGATTTCTTTGAAACGGGAATATTTCCACAGAAAAACTAAACTGAAGCATTCTCAGAAACTGCTTTGTGATGTTTGTGTTCGAGCCACAGAGTTTAACATTGCTTTTCATAGAGCAGTTTTGAAATATTCTTTTCACAGAATCTGCAAGTGGACATTTGGAGCGCTTTCAGGCCTGTGGTGGAAAAGGCCTGAAAGCCTTTTCCTTTATCTTCACAGAAAGACGAGAGAGAAGCATTGTCAGAAACTTCTTTGTGATGATTGCATTCAACTCACAGAGTTGAAGATTCCTTTTGAAACAGCAGTTTCGATACACTCTTTCTGTGGGATCCGCAAGGGGATATTTGGACCTCTTTGAAGGTTTCGTTGGAAACGGGATAATCTTCACCTAAAAGCTAAACGGAAGCATTCTCAGAAACTTCTTTGGGATGTTTGCATTCACCTCACAGAGTTGAACTTTCCCTTTGATAGCGCAGCTTTGACACACTTTTTCTACAATGTGCAAGTGGCTATTTAGCGGGCTTGGAGGACTGTGTTGGAAAAGGAAATATCTTCTCCTAAAAACGACATAGAAGCATTCTCAGAAACTGCTCTGTGATGATTGCATTCAACTCCCAGAGTTGAACATTCCTTTTGATAGAGCAGTTTGCAAACACTCTTTTTGTAGAATCTGCAAGTGGAGATTTGGACCGCTTTGAGGCCTGTGGTAGTGAAGGAAAGAACTTCATATAAAAACCAGACGGTAGCACTCTCAGAAAATTCTTTGTGACGATGGAGTTTAACTCAGGGAGCTGAACATTCGTTATGATGGAGCAGTTTCCAAACACACGTTTTGTAGAATCTGCGAGGGGATATTTGGACCTCTCTGAGGATTTCTTTGGAAACGGGATCAACTTCCCATAACTGAACGGAAGCAAACTCAGAACATTCTTTGTGATGTTTGTATTCAACTCACAGAGTTCAACCTTCCTTTGATAGTTCAGGTTTGCAACACCCTTGTAGTAGAATCTGCAAGTGTATATTTTGACCACTTTGTAGCCTTCGTTTGAAACGTCTATATCTTCACATCAAACCTAGACAGAAGCATTCTCAGAAAGTTTTCTGCGATGACTGCATTCAACTCACAGAGTTGAACAATCCTTCTGATGGAGCAGTTTTGAAACCCTCTTTCTTTGGAATCTGCAAGGGGATATGTGGACCTCTTTGAAGATTTCACTGGAAACGGGATCATCTTCACATAAAAACTAAACAGAAGCATTCTCGGAAACTACTTTGTGATGTTTGTATTCAACTCCCAGAGTTGAACTTTCCTTTTGAAAGAGCAGCTATGAAACACTCTTTCTCGAGAATCTGCAAGTGGACGTTTGGAGGGCTTTGAGGCCTGTGGTGGAAAAGGAAATATCTTCACATAAAAACTAGATAGAAGCATTCTCAGAAACGACTTTGTGAGGATGGCATTCAACTCATGGAGTTGAACAATCCTATTGATAGAGCAGATTGGAATCACTCTTTTTGTAGAATCTGCAAATGGAGATTTGGACTGCTTTGAGGCCTACGGTCGTATAGGAAGGAACTTCATATAAAAGGCAAACGGAAGCATTCTCAGAATATTCTTTGTGATGATGGAGTTTCACTCACAGAGCTGAACATGCCTTTTGATGGAGCAGTTTCCAAATACACTTTTGGTAGAATCTGCAGGTGGATATTTGGAGCTCTCTGAGGATTTCGTTGGAAACGGGAATAATTTCCCATAACTAAACACAAACACTCTGAGAAAGTTCTTCATGATGAATGCATTTAACTCGCAGAGATGAACCTGCCTTTGAGAGTTCAGGTTCGAAACACTCTTTCTGTAGAATCTGCAAGTGGATATTTGGACCACTGGCTGGCCTTCGTTCGAAACGGGTATATGTTCACGTAAAAACTAAAGAGAAGCATTCTCAGAAACTTCTGAGTGATGATTGCATTCAAGTCACACAGTTGAACCCTCCTTTTGATGGAGCAGTTTTGAAACTGTCTTTTTGTAGAATCTGTAAGTGGATACGTGGACCACTTTGAAGATTTCTTTGGAAACGGAAATATTTCCACAGAAAAACTAAACTGAAGCATTCTCAGAAACCGCTTTGTGATGTTTGTGTTCGAGCCACAGAGTTTAACATTGCTTTTCATAGAGCAGTTTTGAAATATTCTTTTCGCAGAATCTGCAAGTGGACATTTGGAGCGCTTTCAGGCCTGTGGTGGAAAAGGCCTGAAAGCCTTTTCCTTTATCTTCACAGAAAGACGAGAGAGAAGCATTGTCAGAAACTTCTTTGTGATGATTGCATTCAACTCACAGAGTTGAAGATTCCTTTTGAAACAGCAGTTTCGAAACACTCTTTCTGTGGGATCCGCAAGAGGATATTTGGACCTCTTTGAAGGTTTCGTTGGAAACGGGATAATCTTCACCTAAAAGCTAAACGGAAGCATTCTCAGAAACTTCTTTGGGATGTTTGCATTCACCTCACAGAGTTGAACTTTCCCTTTGATAGCGCAGCTTTGACACACTTTTTCTACAATGTGCAAGTGGCTATTTAGCGGGCTTGGAGGACTGTGTTGGAAAAGGAAATATCTTCTCCTAAAAACGACATAGAAGCATTCTCAGAAACTGCTCTGTGATGATTGCATTCAACTCCCAGAGTTGAACATTCCTTTTGATAGAGCAGTTTGCAAACACTCTTTTTGTAGAATCTGCAAGTGGAGATTTGGACCACTTTGAGGCCTGTGGTAGTGAAGGAAAGAACTTCATATAAAAACCAGACGGTAGCACTCTCAGAAAATTCTTTGTGACGATGGAGTTTAACTCAGGGAGCTGAACATTCGTTATGATGGAGCAGTTTCCAAACACACGTTTTGTAGAATCTGCAAGGGGATATTTGGACCTCTCTGAGGATTTCGTTGGAAACGGGATCAACTTCCCATAACTGAACGGAAGCAAACTCAGAACATTCTTTGCGATGTTTGTATTCAACTCACAGAGTTGAACCTTCCTTTGATAGTTCAGGTTTGCAACACCCTTGTAGTACAATCTGCAAGTGTATATTTTGACCACTTTGTAGTCTTCGTTTGAAACGTCTATATCTTCACATCAAACCTAGACAGAAGCATTCTCAGAAAGTTTTCTGCGATGACTGCATTCAACTCACAGAGTTGAACAATCCTTTTGATGGAGCAGTTTTGAAACCCTCTTTCTTTGGAATCTGCAAGGGGATATGTGGACCTCTTTGAAGATTTCACTGGAAACGGGATCATCTTCACATAAGAACTAAACAGAAGCATTCTCGGAAACTACTTTGTGATGTTTGTATTCAACTCCCAGAGTTGAACTTTCCTTTTGAAAGAGCAGCTATGAAACACTCTTTTTCGAGAATCTGCAAGTGGACGTTTGGAGGGCTTTGAGGCCTGTGGTGGAAAAGGAAATATCTTCACATAAAAACTAGATAGAAGCATTCTCAGAAACTACTTTGTGAGGATGGCATTCAACTCATGGAGTTGAACAGTCCTATTGATAGAGCAGATTGGAATCACTCTTTTTGTAGAATCTGCAAATGGAGATTTGGACTGCTTTGAGGCCTACGGTAGTATAGGAAGGAACTTCATATAAAAGGCAAACGGAAGCATTCTCAGAATATTCTTTGTGATGATGGAGTTTCACTCACAGAGCTGAACATGCCTTTTGATGGAGCAGTTTCCAAATACACTTTTGGTAGAATCTGCAGGTGGATATTTGGACCTCTCTGAGGATTTCGTTGGAAACGGGAATAATTTCCCATAACTAAACACAAACACGCTGAGAAAGTTCTTCATGATGAATGCATTTAACTCGCAGAGATGAACCTGCCTTTGAGAGTTCAGGTTCGAAACACTCTTTCTGTAGAATCTGCAAGTGGATATTTGGACCACTGGCTGGCCTTCGTTCGAAACGGGTATATGTTCACGTAAAAACTAAAGAGAAGCGTTCTCAGAAACTTCTGAGTGATGATTGCATTCAAGTCACACAGTTGAACCCTCCTTTTGATGGAGCAGTTTTGAAACTGTCTTTTTGTAGAATCTGTAAGTGGATGCGTGGACCTCTTTGAAGATTTCTTTGGAAACGGGAATATTTCCACAGAAAAACTAAACTGAAGCATTCTCAGAAACTGCTTTGTGATGTTTGTGTTCGAGCCACAGAGTTTAACATTGCTTTTCATAGAGCAGTTTTGAAATATTCTTTTGGCAGAATCTGCAAGTGGACATTTGGAGTGCTTTCAGGCCTGTGGTGGAAAAGGCCTGAAAGCCTTTTCCTTTATCTTCACAGAAAGACGAGAGAGAAGCATTGTCAGAAACTTCTTTGTGATCATTGCATTCAACTCACAGAGTTGAAGATTCCTTTTGAAACAGCAGTTTCGAAACACTCTTTCTGTGGGATCCGCAAGGGGATATTTGGACCTCTTTGAAGATTTCGTTGGAAACGGGATAATCTTCACCTAAAAGCTAAACGGAAGCATTCTCAGAAACTTCTTTGGGATGTTTGCATTCACCTCACAGAGTTGAACTTTCCCTTTGATAGCGCAGCTTTGACACACTTTTTCTACAATGTGCAAGTGGATATTTAGCGGGCTTGGAGGACTGTGTTGGAAAAGGAAATATCTTCTCCTAAAAACGACATAGAAGCATTCTCAGAAACTGCTCTGTGATGATTGCATTCAACTCCCAGAGTTGAACATTCCTTTTGATAGAGCAGTTTGCAAACACTCTTTTTGTAGAATCTGCAAGTGGAGATTTGGACCGCTTTGAGGCCTGTGGTAGTAAAGGAAAGAACTTCATATAAAAACTAGACGGTAGCACTCTCAGAAAATTCTTTGTGACGATGGAGTTTAACTCAGAGAGCTGAACATTCGTTATGATGGAGCAGTTTCCAAACACACGTTTTGTAGAATCTGCAAGGGGATATTTGGACCTCTCTGAGGATTTCGTTGGAAACGGGATCAACTTCCCATAACTGAACAGAAGCAAACTCAGAACATTCTTTGTGATGTTTGTATTCAACTCACAGAGTTGAACCTTCCTTTGATATTTCAGGTTTGCATCACCCTTGTAGTAGAATCTGCAAGTGTATATTTTGACCACTTTGTAGCCTTCGTTTGAAACGTCTATATCTTCACATCAAACCGAGACAGAAGCATTCTCAGAAAGTTTTCTGTGATGACTGCATTCAACTCACAGAGTTGAACAATCCTTTTGATGGAGCAGTTTTGAAACCCTCTTTCTTTGGAATCTGCAAGGGGATATGTGGACCTCTTTGAAGATTTCACTGGAAACGGGATCATCTTCACATAAGAACTAAACAGAAGCATTCTCGGAAACTACTTTGTGATGTTTGTATTCAGCTCCCAGAGTTGAACTTTCCTTTTGAAAGAGCAGCTATGAAACACTCTTTTTCGAGAATCTGCAAGTGGACGTTTGGAGGGCTTTGAGGCCTGTGGTGGAAAAGGAAATATCTTCACATAAAAACTAGATAGAAGCATTCTCAGAAACTACTTTGTGAGGATGGCATTCAACTCATGGAGTTGAACAGTCCTATTGATAGAGCAGATTGGAATCACTCTTTTTGTAGAATCTGCAAATGGAGATTTGGACTGCTTTGAGGCCTACGGTCGTATAGGAAGGAACTTCATATAAAAGGCAAACGGAAGCCTTCTCAGAATATTCTTTGTGATGATGGAGTTTCACTCACAGAGCTGAACATTCCTTTTGATGGAGCAGTTTCCAAATACACTTTTGGTAGAATCTGCAGGTGGATATTTGGACCTCTCTGAGGATTTCGTTGGAAACGGGAATAATTTCCCATACCTAAACACAAACACGCTGAGAAAGTTCTTCATGATGAATGCATTGAACTCGCAGAGATGAACCTGAATTTGAGAGTTCAGGTTCGAAACACTCTTTCTGTAGAATCTGCAAGTGGATATTTGGACCACTGGGTGGCCTTCGTTCGAAACGGGTATATGTTCACGTAAAAACTAAAGAGAAGCGTTCTCAGAAACTTCTGAGTGATGATTGCATTCAAGTCACACAGTTGAACCCTCCTTTTGATTGAGCAGTTTTGAAACTGTCTTTTTGTAGAATCTGTAAGTGGATGCGTGGACCTCTTTGAAGATTTCTTTGGAAACGGGAATATTTCCACAGAAAAACTAAACTGAAGCATTCTCAGAAACTGCTTTGTGATGTTTGTGTTCGAGCCACAGAGTTTAACATTGCTTTTCATAGAGCAGTTTTGAAATATTCTTTTGGCAGAATCTGCAAGTGGACATTTGGAGCGCTTTCAGGCCTGTGGTGGAAAAGGCCTGAAAGCCTTTTCCTTTATCTTCGCAGAAAGACGAGAGAGAAGCATTGTCAGAAACTTCTTTGTGATGATTGCTTTCAACTCACAGAGTTGAAGATTCCTTTTGAAACAGCAGTTTCGAAACACTCTTTCTGTGGGATCCGCAAGGGGATATTTGGACCTCTTTGAAGGTTTCGTTGGAAAAGGGATAATCTTCACCTAAAAGCTAAACGGAAGCATTCACAGAAACTTCTTTGGGATGTTTGCATTCACCTCACAGAGTTGAACTTTCCCTTTGATAGCGCAGCTTCGACACACTTTTTCTACAATGTGCAAGTGGATATTTAGCGGGCTTGGAGCACTGTGTTGGAAAAGGAAATATCTTCTCCTAAAAACGACATAGAAGCATTCTCAGAAACTGCTCTGTGATGATTGCATGCAACTCCCAGAGTTGAACATTCCTTTTGATAGAGCAGTTTGCAAACACTCTTTTTGTAGAATCTGCAAGTGGAGATTTGGACCGCTTTGAGGCCTGTGGTAGTAAAGGAAAGAACTTCATATAAAAACTAGACGGTAGCACTCTCAGAAAATTCTTTGTGACGATGGAGTTTAACTCAGAGAGCTGAACATTCGTTATGATGGAGCAGTTTCCAAACACACGTTTTGTAGAATCTGCAAGGGGATATTTGGACCTCTCTGAGGATTTCGTTGGAAACGGGATCAACTTCCCATAACTGAACGGAAGCAAACTCAGAACATTCTTTGTGATGTTTGTATTCAACTCACAGAGTTGAACCTTCCTTTGATAGTTCAGGTTTGCAACACCCTTGTAGTAGAATCTGCAAGTGTATATTTTGACCACTTTGTAGCCTTCGTTTGAAACGTCTATATCTTCACATCAAACCTAGACAGACTGGGTACGGTGGCTCACACCTCTAATCCCAGTGCTTCGGGAGGCTTAGGTGGGAGGATCACTTGAGCCCAGAAGTTCGTGGCTGCAGTGAGCTATGATGGCGCCACTGTACTCTAGCATGGGCAAATGAGCAAGAACCTATCCCTACTAAAAGGAAAGGAAAGGAGAGGAGGGGGCTCCATCAAAAGGATTGTTCAACTCTGTGAGTTGAATGCAGTCATCGCAGAAAACTTTCTGAGAATGCTTC